>NC_000015.10:84926126-85077641 GCF_000001405.40 Homo sapiens
ATATTGTATTTTATTATATAGAGCAATTAAAAATATTTATTTTTTGTTTTTTAACTCCCCACATGACACCAACATGTATTTATATAGAGAGAGACAGAGTTTCCCTCTGTTACTCAAGCTGGAGCACAGTGGTGCAATTACAGCTCACCATAGCCTCAAACTCCTGGACTCAAGCAATTCTCCCACCTCAGCCTCCTGAGTAGCTGGGACTACATACGTGCGCCACCACCCCTGGCTATTTTTTTTTTTTTTTTTTGGTAGAGACGGGATCTTGCTATGTTGCTCAGGCTGGTCTTGAACTCCTGGGCTCAAGCAATCCTCCTGCCTTGGCCTCCCAAAATATTAGGATTACAGGCATGAGCCATTGCATCCAGCTTCAATCACTTTAAAAATATTCTTTCCCTTTGATCCAGCTAGAAAAATTGTGATATAGGGATATTCTCACAAGTGTTCAAGAAATGCAAAATTCCAACATTTGCAAAAGCAAGAAAACTGGACAGCCTAAATGCCCAGCAGTACAGTCATAAGCTGGGTAAGTTGCCCCACACAAGGTGGTAGCATTCAGCATGAGAGTGAGGTGGCCTGTATGTGCTGATTTGGAGATTGACCCTGCCCTGCCTTCTGGCTCTCTGCCCCTGCCCCAGGCTCTCTGGATGCTGTGTGGGGGGTGGGGGGAGGGGGGGGGTGGTGGTAGGCGGTGACCAGAAAATGACCTACATTGTCCCCTTCTTTAATCCCAAATTCCACCTGTCTCTCTCATCTCTGTCCCTGGGGATGATGAGAGATGGGTGAACAAACAGCCAGCCTGCCCCTCCATCTCTCCTTCACTCCGGATGCCTGGACCACACCAATAAGCTCAGCTCTACATGCCACAGAGCTGTCTGGGCAGGGCCAGCTGTTGCGTGACTTTTCAAGAAGTCCCCTTGGGCTCAGGGGCTTTGGTTTCTGGCCTGGTACCCTCCCATCTAGAATTCTAGAGACTGTCATCTGGTTTGCACCTGTCTTGCTGAGGCCTAGAAAAGGGCTCATTAAAACTGGTGCACCCACCCACCCCACCACCAATTGTTTTTGGAAGTGTGGAGGCCAAGGGAAAATTTCCCCTACGTCCTCTGAAGGTTCACTGAAAAATCAGCTCACAAAAGGGAGATTAACAGGAGAAAGGCACACAAATTTATTTAATGCATACACACGGGGGCCTTCAGAAGGAAGACCCAAAGATACAGGGAAAATTGTCCATTTTTACGCTCAGGTTCAACAAAGTATGGATAGCCACATAGAAATAGAATTGGACAAACAGAGTGTGATCTAATACTAATCGACTGAGTGGAGGAAAAACAGCAAAGCCTGTCTGTGTAGACTCTTCTTGGGCTCTCTGAGCATTTTTTCCTTCTGGGTATGGGGCAAGATCCTCTCTGGAAGGGGGGGTCTTATGACCTACACTCAAACAAAGTAGGTCAGATAATTTCTTTATTGCCACTTTTTACCCAGAAAGGCAGAGGGAAGTTAAAGCAATGTTTTTAGGCTTTATGGCTGGCTTTGGGGAAAAGGGCTTCTGGTCTCCGTGCCCTGCCTTGGAGAAGGGGAATTCTAGTTTTTATGGCTAGCCTTGAAGGAGAATTGGACTGATAAATGGGAGGGCAGGACAGAAAAACTTCTTCTGAGGCTACTTCTGAGCCCTTTATTCTAGGTTTTGTTTTAAGAGTCCCAGCAGAAGGAATTTGATATTTCAAAAATGGAAACCCAAAACTTTGTTCCTGAAACTTTTTTTCATGGCAGGATATTGGGGGAGGGGGATGCCATAATATTTTCAGAACTTAGGGCTTTAAATGTCTTAACCTTGTTCTGGTCCCCTTAGACAACGAAAAGAATAACGCTGGTGTTCCTCCTAGTCATTACTTAGAACTTAAACACTGGAAGAATGCTCGCCCATTTCCACAATCTGGCTTAAAACTCAGCCCTCTTTTCTTCCCTTTCTCAGGCAAAAGTCCAGGCCCAGCCCTGGGCAGTCTGGCTTCCCCATTGACAGGGCCTGGGTACCCACTTCCCTTTAGCTGCACAGAATGGGCAGAGGCAGCCAGGATCATCCCTAGGTGCCCTTGAGCCTCCATTTTACAGTCTCTGGTTTGAAAGCCCCAGACTACAACTATAGCTGGCCCAGAGGAAAAGCACCTAACAAACAAACCTTCCTTCCCTTCAATCTCTGGGTCTGCCCCAGTCTTTTCTCCAGAGCAGCTCTCTTTTGCCCCCACCTGGCTCATGACAGTCACTGCACCAGCCCTGTACTGCACGCCCTCTAACTTCCTTCCCCAGTCAGTTCCTCAGTATCTTTGGCTCTGCCCTCAGCCTCTGAATCCCAGAAAGGTCTCTCTTGCCCTTTCCTTCAAGCTCCCAGGTTCGTTCGTTCTTTCTTTCTTTCTTTCTTTCTTTCTTTCTTTCTTTCTTTCTTTCTTTCTTTCTTTCTTTCTTTCTTTCTTTCTTTTCTTTCTTTCTTTTCTTTCTTTCTTTCTTTTTTTTTGAGACAGAGTCTCCCTCTGTCGCCCAGGCTGGAGTGCAGTGGCTCAATCTCGGCTCACTACAACCTCCACCTCCCAGGTTCAAGCAATTCTCCTGCCTCAGCCTCCCAAGTAGCTGGGATTACAGGCATGCGCCACCAACCCAGCTAATTTGTGTATTTTTAGTAGAGACAGGGTTTCACCATGTTGGCCAGGCTGGCCTTGAACTCCTCACCTCAGGTGATCCACCCGCCTCGGCCTCCCAAACTGCTGGGATTACAGGCATGAGCCACTGCGCCCAGCCTCCAAGCTCCCAGATTCTTAAAACCACTTTGTTGCTCAATCTCTGGCTCCCTTCTCCGCACATCCCTCCTATTGCTAATATCTGGATATTTCTAGATCTCCACGGTCCAGTACAGTAGCCACCAAACACACATAGCTATTGAGCACTTGAAATGAGGCTAGTCGTATTGAAAAACTTTTAAGATGTTTTATTAATTTTAAATTTTTATTTTGTCATCCATATTGATAGTTTTATATTGATTACATGGGTGGAAAGAAAATATTTTGGATATATTGAGTTAAATAAGACATTATTAAAATTAATTTAACCTATTTCTTTTTCCTTTTTAAAATGTGGCTATGGCCGGGCGCGGTGGCTCACACCTGTAATTCCAGCACTTTGGGAGGCCGAGGCGGGTGGATCACCTGAGGTCAGGAGTTCAAGACCAGCCTGGGCAACATGGAGAAACCCTGTCTCTACAAAAATACAAAAATTAGCCAGGTATGATGTCAGGTGCCTGTAACCCCAGCTACTCAGGAGTCTGAGGTGGGAGAATTGCTTGAACCCGGGAGGCAGAGGTTGCAGTGAGCCGAGATCGCCCCATTGCACTCCAGCCTGAGCAACACAGCAAGACTCTGTTTCAAAAAAAAAAAAAAAAATGTGGCTTCTAGGCTGGGTGCAGTGGCTCATGCCTGTCATTTCAGTACTTTGGGAGGCCAAGGCAGGAGGATGGCTGAGACCAGGAGCTTGAGACCAGCATGGGCAACATAGGGAGACCCCTATCTCCACAAAAAATTTAAAAAATAAAAAATTACTTGGGCATGGTGGCACACATCTATAGTCCCAGGTACTGGGGAGGCTGAAGTGGGAGGATCACTTGAGCCCAGGAGGTCAAGGCTATAGTGAGCCATGATCATGCCATTACACTCCAGCCTGGGTGACAGAGCGAGACCCTTTGGGTCAGAGAGAGAAGGGTTATGGGCAGGCGTGGGCCCTGGGATGCTAGGATGGAAGGCTCTCCTGACCAGGTGCCTGGGAGGCAGGGCTGGGGAATGTCACAGCCCTGCAGAGTAGCTGGCAGTGGGGAGGTGGGTGTGGGCTGGCCCAGTGCCCAGGGAGCCCTGCCTGTGCAGGACTCAGCCCTTTCCATGATGAGCTGGAAACTAGCAACTGCAGCATTTGAGGCTGTGACCACAACTGGGTCACCCAGGGGACAGTGTGCAGGAATGTGACAACTGCAGGGTGTGTTCTCTGCCGTGACTCAGGTTTACAAACCAGATGTAATCTACAAGTCAGAGGAAGGGTCAGGGTCCTGCCTGGTGGAGGGAAAATCCCAAGATTCCAGGTGTGGCACCATCCCAGCTGGGGCTGAGCAACTGAGGAGGAAGCAGGGGAAGTCCCAAAGCCCAGCCCAGAAAGTCCAGAGAGGACACCTGCCCCAAGTGGGTTTCATCCAGCAAGGGGCAGGGGCCCAGGCTTGCACACCCAGTGTCCACACAGGGCCCTGGGGAGGTATCAGGCTGCTGCCAATTCTTGTTCACATTTTAAGAAGTTTTGTCGATCTTTAAAAAGAAACAACTGGGGTTTAGAAAAAGAAGAAGGACACAATACCTGGGATTCAGAGCCTGAGAGGGTCTCCAGCCTGGCTTCTCAGCAGCAGGCCTGGCACTTCCCTGAGATGGTAATGAGGGGTGCCCACGATCTGCCCTCTGCTTTTTTTTTTTTTTTTTTTTTGAGATGGAGTCTCACTCTGTCGCCCGGGCTGGAGTGCTCAGCTCACTGCAACCTCTGCCTCCTGGGTTCTACCCATTCTCGTGCCTCAGCCTCCCAAATAGCTAGGATTACAGGCACCCACCACCACACCAGGCTAATTTTTGTTTTTTTTTGAGATGGAGTCTCGCACTATTGCCTGGGCTGGAGTGCAATAGTGCGATCTCGGCTCATTGCAACCTCCGCCTCCTGGGTTTAAGTGATTCTCCTGCCTCAGCCTCCCGAGTAGCTGGGATTACAGGCACACACCACCACACCCGGATAATTTTTCTCTATTTTTATTAGAGATGGGGGTTTCACTAAGTTGGCCAGACTGGTCTCGAACTCCTGACCTTGTGATCCTCCCACCTCGGCCTCCCAAAGTGCTAGGATAACAGGTGTGAGCCCCACGCCCGGCCTAATTTTTGTATTCTTAGTAGAGATGGGGTTTCACCATGTTGGCTAGGCTGGTCTCAAACTCCTGACCTCAAGTGATCTGCCCGCCTTGGCCTCCCAAAATGCTGGGATTACAGGCGTGAGCCACTGTGCCTGGCCTGCCCTCTGCTTTTATCAGCCTGAGTGTCTGTCTTCAACTTACCTCCCTCCTCCTTTTTATTTTTATTTAACACTTTAGAATGCAGTTGGCTTATTACAAACTTTAAGAAGAAACATCTATTTTGCTTTTTGTTTATTAAAAAAAATATTGTTGTGGACATTTTGAGAGATACCAAAACACCTGTAATCCCAGCACTTTGGGAGGCCAAGGCAGGCAGATCACAAGGTCAGGAGATTGAGACCATCCTGGCTAACACAGTGAAACCCCGTCTTTACTGAAAATACAAAAAAAAAAAATTAGCTGGGCGTGGTGGTGGGCGCCTGTAGTCCCAGCTACTTGGGAGGCTGAGGCAGGAGAATGGTGTGAACCTGGGAGGTAGAGTTTGCAGTGAGCCAAGATGGCGCCACTACACTCCAGACTGGGCGACAGAGTGAGACTCCATCTCAAAAAAAAAAAAAAAAAAAAAAAAAATGAAAGAAAAGAAAGATACCAAAATGCAGAAAGAAAAGAAAATCGGCCGGGGATGGTGGCTCATGCCTGTAATCCCAGCACTTTGGGAGGCCCAGGTGGGCAGATCACGAGGTCAGGAGTTCGAGACTAGCCTGGCCAACACGGTGAAACGCCATCTCTACTAAAAATACAAAAATTAGCCGGGCGTGGTGGTGCACACCTGTAACCCCAGCTACTCTGGAGGCTGAGGGAGGAGAATTGCTTAAACCCAGGAGGCGGAGGTTACAGTGAGCCAAGATTGTACCGCTGCACTCCAGCCTGGGCAACAGAGCAAGACTCTGTCTTGGAAAAAAAAATAAAGCAAGAAAGAAAATCACCCCTGGCCCCAGCAGCCAGGGACAGTCAATTCATTGCCATTTTGGTGTATTTCTTTCTAATCTTTTCATGCGCCATTTTGGAGTTTGTTTCCCCACTGCCCCTAGTTTTGGTTCTTCTCTACCTGCAATGTTGTGGGCCCTTTCCCACTTCACTGTGAGGCCTTGATGACCATCATTTTCAATGACAGCCTGACGACGCTTAGCCGGTCTCCCATTGTTAGATGTCTGAGTTGGTTCTGATTTCCCTGCTTGGTAAATGACACAGTGATAGGGGGAAACGTGTCATATTTCTCTGTGGAAAAGAACAGAGAAGCAAAGGGTTTGGGGTCCCAGTGAAGATAAAACTTCAGGAAGGGAGAATCCCAGGGGCTGACATTGCTCTGCCATCTTGCTGGGAGTGGTTTTCACAGCGTGGCTCCCAGAAGGAGACTGAGGGTCAAACGGTGGCTGTCATAGAGGCAGATTTCCTGAGAAGGAGTTCTCAAACTGCAGGACTGGATGTGATGGGTTGGCTTGCAGTGGTGAGTTCCCCGTCACAGTAAGCATTCAAAGAGAGAGCCTAGAGAGGGAGTACCTTCCTACGCTAGTACATACCTACACTAAGGTGGAATTGGTTTAGCTCTTAAATCCATTTCATTTCAACTCTTAGGTTCTAGAGCTTTGTCTGAAAGCATTACAAATTCCTCCACTAAGGGGGAAACCTCAGCTAACGGGGATTAGTGGTCAACAGTGACAGCCTAAAAAGGAAGAAAGAACCTTGAACTTGGAGCCAAAAGATGTGATAGGCTCTAATTCCTTCTCTTCCTTTATTTTGGGAAGCCATATTTAATCCTTTGGAGTCTCAGTTTTCTTGTCTGTAAAATGAAGATAACAATATTTGTCATTCCTAACTTAGGGAGCACCAGGAAGAAATAGAAGGTCCTATACATATAGCCTGTGACCTTCTACACATAAAAGGTATTATTATTATTAGTGATGACAGCAGTTATGACAATGAGGACATATCAGTGGGACAGACTACACATGTGCCCTTGCTGCCCTGGGCCGCACTCCTTGGTCGCCAGCATTTCTTCTGACTGTCCACCTAGAACCTGCACTCTCACTCTTGCAGATCGATGCCACCTCGTTGATTGCAGCCTCTGTGATGGCTGCCCCTTGTGCCTTGGCCCTCTCCAAGCTGGTCTACCCGGAGGTGGAGGAGTCCAAGTTTAGGAGGGAGGAAGGAGTGAAACTGACCTATGGGTGAGCACAGCAGGAGGTCCTGCAGACAGGGTAGTGGTACAAGGTGGGGGGAGCAAAGCAGAGGGTCCCGTTCTCTCTGTCCATCACTGTCTTCCACTAGCCTGGGCCCATCTCTCCACTTTTCCTGCTCTGGTTTGGGCTTCATTTGCTGTCTTAGTCCATTTTCTGTTGCTTATAACAGAAATCCTGAAACTGGGTACTTTATAAAGAATAAGAATTTATTTCTTACAGTTATGGAGGCTGAGAAGTCCAAGGTCGAGGGGTTGTATCTGGCGAGAGCCTTCTTGCTGCTGGGGATTCTGCAGAGTCCCAAGTTGGCACAGGGCATCACATGGCGAGGGGTTGAGGGGTGCCAGGCAGGGAACTGAGCATGCTAGCTCAGATCTCTCTTCTTCTTCTTAAGAAGCCACCAGTCAAGTCCAGGTGCGATGGTTCATGCCTGTAATCCCAGCACTTTGGGAGGCTGAGGCAGGCAAATCACTTAAGGTCAGGAGTTCAAGACCAGCCTGGCCAACATGGTGAAACCCCATCTCTATTTAAAATACAAAAGTTAGCCAGGCATAAAGGCTCACGCCTGTAATTCCAGCAACTTAGGGGGCTGAGGCACGAGAATTGCTTGAATCCGGGAGGTGGAGGTTGCAGTAAGCCTAGATCGCACCACTGTACTCCAGCCTGGGCAACAGAGCGAAACTCCGTCTCAAAAACAAAACAAAAAGCCACCAGTCCTACTCCCATGATAACCCATTATCCCATTAATCCAACATTCAGGAATGGATTCATCCATTCAGGAGGGCAGAGCCCTCATGACCCAATCACCTCTTAAAGGCCCCACCTGTCAATACTGCCACATTGAGGATTAAGTTTCAAAATGAGTTTCCGAAGGACAAACATTCAGACCATAGCATTTGCAAAAATGCGCACTCCAGTTCTCACATCTTAATGTCCAGTCTCTGACCAGCAGGAAACAATGGACCAGGCAAGGCTTGGGAGTGTGGCCTGGTTCTTGGTCTGTGGCCTGGTGTGTGTACATGTTGAGGAGGGTCATAGAAAGGCCCCATGCCCCCATCTCTATGTGCCTGAGCTCTGACTGCCAGGGTGTCAACCACACATTGACATGCTGAGTGCCATCTTTGATTTCACTCACCTCCTAACATCCCGTCATAGTCTTAATAACTGTTAGGTAACTTTTAAACCTTAAACAATGTTGAAAAGGCACCACATTGGACACATGTGCTTGGGCACAGCGGATGACCCCAACCTCACAACTTTCTGAGGCACTGGAGCAGCGCTGTCCCATGGAAATGTAATGTGAGGCGCCTGTCATTTTCTAGTAGTTGTCTTTTAAAAAGTGAAAAGAAATGGGTGATTTTAATAACCGATTTTACTTAACCCTGTATACCCCAAAGTATTGTCATTTCAACATGTAACCAGTATAATAATTATTGAGGTATTTTGCATTTTTTGGTACTAAATCCTCAGAATCTGCTCTGTATTTTGTACAACACAACTCAATTCAGACAGCCTCCTGTCATGTGTGGCTGATGGCTTCCATCTTGGACAGTTCAGCGTTAGAAACCTGGATCTTATCCCGGTGCTTTGACCAGCCCCTTTTTCTCTCTGGGTCTCAGGGAAAATTAGGATTTCCCGCTCTGAAATGCTCTTCCAGGGTTCCTATTTGAGCCTATAGGATAGGGACCCTTGCTGGTTGTGGAGACAGGCCAGTAATGATCATTCTTGATCCCAACAACAGAGATGCTCAGAACCTCATAGAAGCAGCCAGCACTGGGGCCGCCATCTCCGTGAAGGTGGTCGCCAACATCGCTGCCAACCTGATTGCGTTCCTGGCTGTGCTGGACTTTATCAATGCTGCCCTCTCCTGGCTGGGAGACATGGTGGACATCCAAGGGCTCAGCTTCCAGGTGCGTTTCTGGCCACCACACTCAGTCTGTAGAGAGGATGGCCCCAGGTGGGTGGTGAGTGGTGGCTGGAGACCTAGCAGAGCCCAGGCCCAGCCCTCGGTGCCAGCCATACCGTTGTGCCCTCAGCTCATCTGCTCCTACATCCTGCGGCCTGTAGCCTTCTTGATGGGTGTGGCGTGGGAGGACTGCCCAGTGGTAGCTGAGCTGCTGGGGATCAAGCTGTTTCTGAACGAGTTTGTGGCCTATCAAGACCTCTCCAAGTACAAGCAACGCCGCCTGGCAGGGGCCGAGGAGTGGGTCGGCGACAGGAAGCAGTGGATCTCCGTGAGTGTCCCAGTCCCTTCCCTGCAGCAGGGGGATGACACGGCACAGCCACTCCTCAGGGCCCCTGGCAGCTGCTCTCCCGCTCCCTGGGCCTGGCTGAGACACACTGAAGTGGTGCTTCACCTCCTACATCCTGTAGTCCTGGGAGACAGGACAGCTTCAGGCTTCGCTGCCATCTTTCTCAAGGCCTTTTAGGAGGCTGAGGTGCGGGGAGAGAGCATTGTTTGGGATGTCTGAAAGCTGGCTCTAGATGGGTCGTTTTTCACTGTGGCCTTAGGCCAGCCACAGTACCTTGCCTCTTCTGTTGGAAAACGGGGTGAGATGACTGCCACATCTACTCCAAAGGCATACACATGTGCACCCAATGAGCTGGGAGAGTGAGATAAGGAGGCTTCACTAACACCCTCACTGTTTTGTTTTGGTTTGGTTTTTGTTTTTTTTTTTTTTTTTTTTTGAGACGGAGTCTCACTCTGTCGCCCAGGCTGGAGTGCAGTGGCTCGATCTCGGCTCACTGCAAGCTCCGCCTCCCGGGTTCACGCCATTCTCCTGCCTCAGCCTCTCCAAGTAGCTGGGACTACAGGCGCCCACCACCGCGCCCGGCTAATTTTTTGTATTTTTAGTAGAGACGGGGTTTCATCGTGGTCTTGATCTCCTGACCTCGTGATCTGCCCACCTCGGCCTCCCAAAGTGCTGGGATTACAAGCGTGAGCCACTGCGCCCGGCTGTTTTGGTTTGGTTTGGTTTGGTTTGGTTTTCTGAGATGGAGTCTCCCTCTGTCACCCAGGCTGGAGTGCAGTGGCACATTCTTAGCTCACTGCAACTTCCACCTCCCGGGTTCGAGTGATTCTCGTGTCTCAGCCTCCCAAGTAGCTGGGACTACAGATGCCTGCCACCACGCTCAGCTAATTTTTGGATTTTTAGTAGAGACGGGGTTCACCATGTTGGCCAGTCTGGTCTTGAAATCCTGACCTCAAATAATCCACCCGCCTTGGCCTCCCAAAGTGCTGGGATTACAGGTGTGAGCCACCATACCCGGCCATCACCTTCACTGTTAGTATAGTGGATTCAGTGCAGGGGTTGGCTCTTTCTGTTAAAATTTATTTTTAAAAACTATAAAAGTTCTATAAAATTAACCTTTCTAAAAGAATAGTAACATTATTGAGAATGAAAAAATTACCTACAATCTCACCATCCCAGATAATAGTTATTGTTGTTTCTTACATTTTCTTCCATTCTTTTAAGAGAGAGTTTAGGTCAGGTGCAATGGCTCATGCCTGTATTCCCAGCACTTTGGGAGGTCAAGGTGGGAGGATCACTTGAGGCCAGGAGTTCAAGACTAGCCTGGGCAACATAATGAGCCCCTGTCTTTACTAAAAATTTTAAAAATTGCGGGGTGCAGTGGTGCATGCCTGTAGTCCCAGCTACTTGGGAGGCTGAGGCAGGAAGATGGCTTGAGCCCAGGAGTTTGAGGCTGTAGTGAGCTAGGATTGCATCACTGCACTCCAGCCTGGGCAACAGAGCAAGACCCTGTCTTTAAAAAAAAAAAAAGGGAAAGCAAGAGAGAGTTTACATAGTTTCTGTCGTAGCAGCCAAACCGTGCTGTAGCCATTTTTGTTTTTTTGTTTTTTTTTTTACTTAGTATTACAACATAAGCATCATTTTGTATATGTGTCCTAACATATTTACCCAATCCCCTGCTGTTGGGCCATTCAGACAATTCTATTATTTGATTTTTATCCACATGTTGAAATGAGTATCTTTGTGCATATAGCTCTTCCTTCCTCTCAGATCATTTCTGCAGCGTTCCCAGGTGTGGGCTGACTGACTCCCACATGAGTCTTCACGTGGCTGCAGCAGCTGAAATCAGCAGCACCAGCTGTGCCTGCGAGCATTTATTTCGCCACACAACTAAACAGCATCGGGTAGCTTCTTTTTAAAAACAAGGTTCACTACTTCAATAAGCAAATAATAGCTCATTGTTTTCATTTGCATTACTTGGGTGACTGGAAACTTTCAATGGGAAGCCCTTTCTCTTGTCTTTTTAATTATGTTTTAAATTGTAAAGGAAGGGACTCTAGGTTTTTTAAAAAAGAAAGTTTGTGGCCAGGCACGGTGGCTCACACCTGTAATCCCAGCACTTTGGGAGGCTGAGGTGGGTGGATCACTTGAGGTCAGGAGTTTGAGACCAGCCTGACCAACATAGCGAAACCCCTTCTCTACTAAAAATACAAAAATCAGTGGTTGTGTTGGAATGTGTCTGTAGTCCCAGTCCTTGTGCTGAGGCACGAGAATTTCTTGAACCTGGGAGGAGGAGGTTACAGTGAGACAAGATTGTGCCACTGCACTCCAGCTTGGGCAACAGAGTGAGACTCTGTCTCAAAAAACAAAACAAAACAAAAAACCAGGCATGGTGGCTCACACCTGTAATCCCAGCACTTTTGGAGGCAGAGACTGGAGGATCACCTGAGGTCAGGAGTTTGAGACCAACCTGACCAACATGGAGAAACCCCGTCTCTACTAAAACTACAAAAATTAGCCAGGTGTGGTGGCAGGCGCATGTAATCCCAGCTACTCAGGAGGCTGGGGCAAGAGACTCTCTTGAACCCAGGAGGGGGAGGTTGCAGTGAGCCAAGATTACACCATTGTACTCCAGCCTGGGCAACAAGAGTGAAACTCCATCTCAAAAAAAAAAAAAAAAGGTTTCTATAGAGTAAAAAGCACAAGTTTCCCCTCACTGCTTACTGTCACCTCTGGTCTCACCCCCTCCTCAGAGATTAATAGAGGGCACGCCCCTTCCTGTTCTTTTTTTTTCTTATTTATTTTGAATTTCTGTGAGTACATAGTAGGTGTATAGATTTATGGGGTACATGAGGTGTTTAGATGCAGGCACACAGTGTAAAAATATAGAATGCTTCATGAATTTGCACATCATCCTTGCACAGGGGCCGTGCTAATCTTCTCCGTATCGTTCTGATTTTAGTATGTATGCTGCCGAAGCAAGCACTTCATGATCTTTTTTTAATGAACTTCATTCCTTCAGCAAGTATTTGTTGAGACCATTTAGGTGCCAGGCATTCTGCTAGGCACTGGGGATAAAAAGGAGAATTACACAGACATGGCTCTGGTCTCATGGAACCGACATGTAGTGAGAGACACAGGCAAAACACAAGAAAGCAAAGGAACAAAAATTAAAATAACCACAATTCGTGGTAAGTTCTATGAAGAAAACAACAAGAAAAAAAAAAACAGGGCAGGGTCTTCCTTGGCTGGACTGGTCAGAAAAAATATCCCTGAGGTGTGGCATTTAAGCCAAGACTTGGAGAACGGATGAGCTAGGACAAGCTGGGAAAAACATTCCAAAGGAAGAGGCATGTGCAAAGGCCCTGAGGTTGAAAAGCACTTGGTGTGCTTAGAGAGCAGAGGCAATGGATACAGCTAGAGCAGGTGGTAATCACAGGCCAAGGAACAGTTGGAAATCACTGAAGATTTGACATTTTGAATTTTAAGAAGATGACTGGAGGCTGGGTGTGGTGGCTCATACCTGTAACCCCAGCACTTTGGGAGGCTAAGGCAGGAGGCTCACTTAAGACCAGGAGTTCAAGACCAGCCCTGGAAACAAAGCAAGACCCTGGCTTTACAAAAAATTTAAAAATTAGCCAGGTGTAGTGGTGCACGCCTGTGGTCTCAGCTACTTGGGACACTGAGGCAGGAGGATCGCTTGGACCCAGGAGACTGGGGCTGCAGTGAGCTATGATTTTGCCACTGCACTCTAGCCTAGGTGACAGAGTGAGACCCTGTCTGAAAACAAAAGACAGAGAGAAGGAAGCAAGAAAGGAAAGAAGGAAGGGACAGAGGGAGGGAGGGAAAAAGACAGCGAGACCGAAGGAAGGGAGGGAGCCTGGGGCTGCTCTGTGGAACACAACTGTAGGTGGGCAAGCAGAGATGCAGGTACCTTCATATTTTTTCCAATAATATTTGTATCAATGCTTTATGTTATAAAGGCATTAACTTTTTTCTGATATATTTTCTACATATACTTTTCCTAGCCTTTTCTGTTATTGCCCTTTATGTTGTATAAGGAAATTTATTTTTTGGTTTTTAAATGTAGAACGCTTCATGAATTTGTGCGTCATCCTCAGGTAGGGGCCATGCTAATCTTCTTTGTATCATTGAAGTTTTAATATATGTGCACAAGAAGCAAGCACAGGAATGTGTTTTTTTTTTAATTAAAAAAATTGTATTTACTTAGAAGCATTCAGAATGTCAACAAAACAGCTGTAACTTTTGAGTGGTATATATGTATGTATTTATTTATTTATTTTTGGAGACTGGGTCTCACTTTGTCACCCAGGCTGGAGTGCAGTGGTGCAATCACAGCTCACTGTAGCCTCTGCCTCCTAGGCTCAAGTGATCCTCCTGCCTCAGCCCCTGTGTAGCTGGGATTACAGACGTGTGCCACCACACCTGGCTAACTAACCTTCGCATTTTTTGTAGAGACGGGGTCTCGCCGTATTGCCCAAGTTGGTCTCAAACTCCTGACCTCAAGCAATCCTTCTGCCCTGGCCTCCTAAATTGCTGGGATTACAGGCATGAGCCACCACGCCCGGCTCCAGTGGTGTTTAGTTAACAAAACAGCAACTATTTTGTGTAAGCTGCATCAGAGACAACTAAAGATGAAGGCACTACCATCCACATACATAACTAATGTGTGCTGTGTGCCAACAAGAGCCTGCTTTAAATTTCCATGCCAATTTATAACCCCCATACTGCACCAGGCAAGGTTGGTGGCTATTGAAAATACCACCAGGACAGAGTTATCTAAAGACACATTGGGTAGTATGTAACTATGCAAAAAAAAGGACACTGTACAGTTTAAAAACAAATCTTACATGGCCTTACATTTTAATTTATTTCTTTAAAAGGAATGAATTTAGTGTGGGGGGGTTAAATACATTATATACAAAAAAAAAGCTACTAGAACTAGCTTATTCATCATCTTCATCTTCCCCATCTTTCCTTCCCCCTCATCCTCTTCCTCTTTCTCATGTTTCTCCTATTCTTTCTTTTTCTTTCTTTTTCAGCCTTGACAGCTCCCTTATTTTTGCTACATCAGGCTTTCCTTTAGCTCGGTATGCAGCAATATCCCTTTTGTATTTTTCTTCCAGCTTTGCAGGTGTCTTTTTCTAAGGCTGCTTATTCTCCACAGCGGTTTTATAACCACATCTCTCCTACTTTCTTTGCAACATCAACAACGGATAGGCTGGGATGTTCTCCTTTGATTTTTGGGTGATGCTTGGAATAGAACAAGAAGAGGCCAAAGGAGGCCTCTTGGGCGCATTGGGATGCTGGAACTTCTTTTTTGTTTTCCCTTTAGGAAGGATGTAAGTTTTCATTTCTCTTTCCTAGCCAGCCTTGTCCGCCTTTGCCACATCTTCAAATTTTCTTTTCTGTTTAGTTGACATGGTCATCTGCCTCTCTGGCACTTCTTTGAAAGCTCTGAGGAGTTGCCTGAAGCATCTGGGTGCTTCTTCTCGTGTCCCTCCCAACAAGCTTGGACAGGGAGTGCATATAATCACATTTTGCCTCTTGGCTTCTTAGGGTCTCTTCTGCCCATGTTTAGTTATTTTTCCTCAGTGAGGCACAGAGTCACCCAGTGCCTGTCAGCTCTCACTTGACCCAGCATTTGGGATTTGTTTTTTTTTTTTGAGACGGAGTCTCGCTCTGTTGCCTAGGCTGGAGTGCAGTGGTGTGATCTCGGCTCACTGCAAGCTCTGCCTCCTGGGTTCACGCCATTCTCCTGCCTCAGCCTCCCAAGTAGCTGGGACTACAGGCACCCGCCACTGTGCCCGGCTAATTTTTTGTATTTTTAGTAGAAATGGGGTTTCACCATGTTAGCCAGGATGGTCTCGGTCTCCTGAACTTGTGATCTGCCCACCTTGGCTTCCCAAAGTGCTGGGATTACAGGCGTGACCCACTGCACCCGGCCGGGATTTGTTTTTTTTTTAACATAGATTTTATACCAAATATTTTCTTTTGTGATTTCTTCTGTTATTTCTAAACTTATAACGTTATCTGGAAAGTGCGGCTGGGCACGGTGGCTCATGCCTGTAATTCCAACACTTTGGGAGGCCAAGGAGGGTGGGTCACTTGATGCCCGGAGTTTGAGACCAGCCTGGCCAACATGGCAAACAGGAAATAGAAAACTTAGCCAGGTGTGGTAACACACACCTGTAATCCCAGCTACTTGGGAGGCTGAAGCATGAGAATCGCTTGAACCCAGGAGGCAGAAGTTTTCAAAAAAAGGAAAGAAAGAAAAAGAAAGTTATCTGGAAAGTGTTAAATTCGTGAAATAACGTGATGAGATAATTCAGACCATGAGCTTTGGAGTCAGAACTGAGTTCAAATTCTGATACAGCTACCTTCTTGCTGTGTGAACTTCCTTAGTTACTTAACCTCTCTGAGCCTCGGTTTACTCCTCTCCAAAATAAGAGTAATAATAGTACCTTGTAACTATATTTATTATCCTATATTTTCTATCATTCTATACTTAAAATATTAATATTTATCTAGAATTAATTTTTATATAGTGTGAGGGGAGGCTCTATACCAATTTTTTAAATAATTTTTAATTTTTGTGGGTATATAGTAGGTGTAAATATTTATGAGGTACATGAGATGCTTTGATACTGGCATGCAATGTGAAATAAGCACATCATGGAGAATGGGGTATCCATCCCCTCGAGCATTTATCCTTTGTGTTACAAACAATCCAATTATACTCTTAGTTATTTTTAAATGTACAATTAAGTCATTACTGACTATAGTCACCCTGTTGTGCTATAAAATATTAGCTCTTATTCATTTATTCTAACTATTTTTTTGTACCCATAAACCAATTTTGTTTTCAAATTATTTCATTTTGGCTCTTAAAACTTCTTTCTGGGAAATAGGACAGTTGTTAAGAACAAAAGCAAATAACTATTGTGTTTGAACACTTACTGTCTGCCTGGTGTTTCCCATACATTATATAATCCTTTTTACAGCCCTCCCAGGCAACTACTATTATTCCCCTATTCCAGACAGGAAAACTGACACTGAAAGAAGTGACTGACTTCTCAAGCTGATCATTGGTGAGACAATCCTAGAAGCCAGGCTGGCTGGGCTCCAAATCCCTTACTCTTTCCTGTGGGCCATACTCCCTCTCTCAGCCTGAGAGCATTCACAGGAGTGCTGTGAACTGGAAGCCCAGGACTGCGGGGTCAGGGAAGGGGCTGTCCACCAAATGGCCCCAGGACAGAGCTTAGTAGGGCCAAAGCGACAGGACTAACAAAGGCTGAACCCCATCCAGAAAGGCTGGTAATGAAGATTAAAAGGTTGAAGGACAGGCTGGGTGTGGTGGCTCACACCTGTAATCCCAGCACTTTGGGAGGCTGAGGTGGGCAGATCATCTAAGGTCAGGAGTTTGAGACCAGCCTGCCCAACATGGCGAAACCCCATCTCCGCTAAAAATACAAAAAGTTAGCCGGGCGTGGTGGCGGGCACCTATAATCCCAGCTACTCGGGAGGCTGAGGCAGGAGAATGGCTTGAACCCAGGAGGCACAGGTTGCAGTGGGCTGAGATTGTGCCACTGCACTCCAGCCTGGGTGACAAGAGTAAAACTCCGTCTCAAACAAAAACAAAAACAAAAAAAGAAACAAAAAAAGTTGAAGGACAGATAAGAGAGGGGGGCTATGTTTTTGATGTGGTGCAGTTTGAGCCAACTTAGAGGTGGGATTGCAAGGCTGGGGAAGCGGCAGCACAGAGGACTCAAAGGTCAATTACATGTAAGAAGTGGGTAAAATTAAGGCCAGGGAGCCTGGGTGTTATAGGGGTGCCCCAGGCCCATCTGAGGGGAGCCCCTCCTCATGCATCTTCTGTATTTTCAGGTCAGAGCTGAAGTCCTCACGACGTTTGCCCTCTGTGGATTTGCCAATTTCAGCTCCATTGGGATCATGCTGGGAGGCTTGAGTGAGTCTAATCAGGGCCTCACCAGTGTCTAGGAGAGTCTGGGACTTGAACTTGCTCGGGACATGTAGGCCTCAGTTGTCTCATTTGTCTAAAGCAGGACCCAAACAAGATGGCCATAGAGGCCAGGTGTGGTGGCTCATGCCTGTAATCCCAGCACTTTGGGAGGCCCAGGTGGGTGGATCATTTGAGGCCAGGAGTTTGAGGCCAACCTGGCCAACATGGCAAAACTCTATCTCTACTAAAAATACAAAAATTAGCCAGGCGTGGTGGTGCACGCCTGTGATCCCAGCTACTCAGGAAGCTGAACCCAGGCACGAGGATGAGCTGAGATCGCACCACTGCACTCCAGCCTGGGCTACAGAGCGAGACTCTGTCTCAAAAAAAAAAAAAGAAAAAAGAAAAAGATGTTCATAGAGTTTCCTCCTAGCCCTAGAATTCCGATTCTCTGCTGCTGCTGGTGGCCCAGGAAGTTAGCACCTGGGCCTTGAAGGCCAAGCCTGGCTCAGGGGTGGGAGGTGTGGTGCTTGCCTGTCCCCAAGGCTTTGGCCTGCCTGTTCCCACACCCACAGTGGACAGGCAGGCAGGCCTGGTGGGGCCTAAGGTCGAAGGGTCTGCACAGTTCTCAGTTCTTTACAAATAACATTTCCAGTCCTGGCAGCTACACTGCCTGGTGGTATAATCACCCCATTTTACAAAGAAGGAAACTGAGTCTTCATGAAGTGAAGTGGTGGCCCAAGTCACTCAGCTAGTGAGTGGCTGAGCTTGTATTTAATCCCAGGTCTGCCTGACTCCAAACTCACATTCTTTTCCTGCATCTGCCACTCATGGTGTGTAGGGAGATGTGGGGCATTGCCTAGGGGTCCAAGCCAGGCCAAAGAGAACTCCTGAGCTCAGCAAGCTGTCAGGAGGACAACATCTGTCCCTCTGGCCATCTATTAATAGAAGAGGAAGGGAGGTCAGCAGATGCAGCCCGAGCTGCGGAACGCGGGCAGAGAGGGACACAGCTTCCCAGGCCCTGAGCACTTCTGTCCCCTTGCAGCCTCCATGGTCCCCCAACGGAAGAGCGACTTCTCCCAGATAGTGCTCCGGGCGCTCTTCACGGGAGCCTGTGTGTCCCTGGTGAACGCCTGTATGGCAGGTGAGTGCAGGCCTGGCAGGCTCAGAAGGTGGAACCCTGACTTTCTGGCTAGCCCGGGGGCCCTGCCCCACCCACCACTTTCCCTCTACAGGGATCCTCTACATGCCCAGGGGGGCTGAAGTTGACTGCATGTCCCTCTTGAACACGACCCTCAGCAGCAGTAGCTTTGAGATTTACCAGTGCTGCCGTGAGGCCTTCCAGAGGTGAGGGCCTGGGCTGTGGGACCTGCAGGGCACCCACAGTGATAGACAGAATGCCTGAGCGCTGGGGGGGATGCCTTTGGTACCAGGGTGAGGGTAGAAATGTTACGGCTGCAGCTAATGGGGAGGTGAAGGCTCGAGGACCAATGGAGGAAGGGTGGACCAGAGACTTGAAACAGTGTTCCCGGTGTTGCACAGCCTGGTGGTGGCCCGCAGAACCAGGCCTGGAGCTCCCACTGCGATCTTTGCTTTCTTTTTAGCGTCAATCCAGAGTTCAGCCCAGAGGCCCTGGACAACTGCTGTCGGTTTTACAACCACACGATCTGTGCACAGTGAGGACAGAACATGCTTGTGCTTCTGCGCTTCTGAGGGCTGTTCTCCCCCGGGAACCATCTGTCCCCACCTTCCCTTTCCCAGAGCCCTCTTCAGGGAAGCCACAGGACTTAGACCCAGCTCAATCCCACAATTGGGAAGGGTTCATGGAGTGAGTGTGCAGAGAGTGAGTGAGGACATAAGGAAGGACATGTCCCACTCCATCCCCCTTCCTGCTCCCCCATTTCCTAACTCCCCCAGTGTGAATTCTCAGGGTCACTTCTGCCTCCTCCCGTTTCCCCTCCACATCCAAACAGCACCCTGGTCCTCTCTATCCCCCCTCTCCTGGGGTCCCTCACATGCCCCTTCCCTTCTGTTGTGGGCTGCACACCAAAGCCTCCTCCCCTCCCCACTTCCTAGGCACTAGGATCTCTCTGTGGCTTCCCCTGCTGGGTGGTGTCACCTCTTTCTCTGCTTTCAGAGAAACCCTTCCCGCCTTTCCTCAGAGTGCTTCCCAAACTGAGGTCCCATGGCACACTGTCCTGGGAGGCGTTCAGAGGGTTCCATGATGGACTAGGTTTGGAACCACTGGGTTAAATAAACTTAGAGAGGGCTGTTTAGACTTTTGTTTGTTTATTTTTTTGTTTTTTTAACTGTGAACTTGTCAGAGCTTGGTGGTTTTTTCCACATTTACTTGACCATAAAAACCTTTTCACTCTGTCACCCAGGCTAGAGTACAGTGAGGTGATCATGGCTCACTGCAGCGTCAACCTCTCAGGCTCAAGTGATCCTCCCACCTCAGCCTCCTAAGTAGCTAGGATCATAGGCATGTACCACCATGTCCAGCTAATTTATATATAAATACACACATATATATACATACATATATATATATGTGTGTGTATGTTCATATATATATATATATATATATATATATTTTTTTTTTTTTTTTTTTTTTGGTAGAGATGAGGTCTTGCTATGTTGCCCAGGCTAGTCTCAGACTCCTGGACTCAAGTAGTCTGCCCACCTTGGCTTCCCAATGTGTTGGGATTATAAGCATAAGTCACTGTATCTGGCCCATAAGAACCTTTTTGATGGAAGTGTCTCAGTTGAAGATTTTGTGGAATACAACTTGGGAAATATTGGCTAATGTTCAAACTGCTTTACTCTAGGCAACTGTAATGTTAGCAAATGCTTATGTGGCACTGTGTGCCAGGCACTGTTCTCAGCGCTTTATATATTTTAACTCAATCCTTACAACAACTTCATGCAGTAGGTGTTATTATTGTCACTAGTTGAGGAATCGGAGTCGCGGACAGGTTAAGTTATGTGCCTAAAGGGACAGAGCTGGGAAGAGGCAGAGGCAGGATTTGAGCCAGGCCACCTAGTTCTGGGTGGTATAGGGGTGCCCCGAGCCCATCTGAGGGGAGCCCCTCCTCATGCATCTTCTGTATTTTCAGGTCATAACACAAACTGCGATGTGGGGCCTCTCTGTTGGGCTGCTGGTGTTCAGGGAACCCTGATGGGTGGCCCGCCCTCACCTCCCTCGCTGCCTTTCCTCCCCACCCCAAGCCCTCTGTGCCACTAGGTGAGGCCCGATGTCCCTCCCCTGCCTTCATTTCTGGAGTTCCTATCACCAGCATGCCCTCTCCATCTCCCTGCCGCCTGCCCTGCTCCCATCTCAGTTCTCATTTTCCCCAGCAGCTTTGGCTTCCAGGACCTGCGATGCACCCTGCCCTTGTGGCTGCTGGGGCCCTACACCCTCACCCCTACCTGCCAGGTCCAACTTCTTTCCTAGCTGGGGCTGACCCTGACCTAGGGCAGTGGGAGGGTGGAGCCCTGGCCAGCAGTTATTCAGCTCAGCCCCAGTGAGCCAGGTCCTGTTTCTGTTCTGCCACAGACTTTGGTTCCAGTGGGCAGCAGCCTTGCTCCTTGTGAGCCCCACAGGCTGACCTGGGTCCCCATCCTCAGGGCCTGTGTCCTTCCCTTAGCTCCACAGAGTGGAGGCTTGGCCTGACTCCTGTAGCTCCAGCTAGGCTCTTGCCTTCTCTCTGCAGCCCTCCCTCAGTCCTTGCTACCTGCTCCAGCTGCCCTTGGGCTGTGGGCAGGGTGCCCTGTTGATATGGACAACACAGTCCTCTCCCAGGATTGGCCCTCCGCCCCTTCCCTGCCCATATGTTGGCCTCAGCTCCACTAGCTGGGTCATGGAACAGCCCAAGGACTGCCCTTGACCCCCTTCTCTGGACTCCCTGCACGCTCATTCTGTGGCCAGTGGCCTTCCCTAGAAGACTGCAGGCCACTTGAATATAGGGCTCACACTGTACCCTTCTGTCTTAGTCAGTTTTGGCTGATAACAAAATACCATAAATGGGATAGCTTATAAACAACAGAAATGTATTTCTCACAGCTCTTGAGGCTGGGAAGTCCAAAATCAAGGTGCTAGAAGATGCTGTGCCTGGTGAGAGCCAGTTTCTCATAGGTGGCACCTTCTCCCTGTGTCCTCACATGGCAGAAGAGGCTAATGAGATCCCTGGGGCCTCTTGCATAAGGACACTAATCCCATTCATGTGGGCTTTACTCTCATGACCTTATCACCTCCCAAAGACCCCCCCTCCTAATACCTTCACCTTGGGGGCTAGGATTTCAGCATATGAACTTTGAGGAGACATGAACATTCAGACCATAGCAAATAGTAGTGTAAGCTATTAACAAGAGGGGAAAATGGGTGTGGGATATATGGGAGCTCGGTAGTATTGGTGCAACATTTTGTAAGTCTAAACTATTCTAAAATTTAATAGTTTATTTTTTAAATGGCATGGGGAAAAAAAAACTGCGTGGACACAGATGCTGTATAACTTGTAATTCAGCCCATGGGTAACTCTGTCCTAGACAATGCATGTCCCAATAGGCAACATGCCAAGGTCTGTGAGTTGACTAATGGGCTACATTGACCCCCCTTCTGCCCCTTTCTTCCCATGGCCCTGCCCTCACCTCTGCTGCCCCCTCAATTTAATTCAAGCTCATGCCTTCAGCTGAATGTTAATTAGTCCTGACCTCTTTGCAACCACATGAAGAATATCATCTGCTTGAAATTACTTTTGACTTGGGATTAGTGAGCCCTGAGGTTGGACAGGACCTTAAACATCATTTTGAGGGTGTCTACCTCCCCATCCAGCTTTTCTGAGAATGTTTATACCCACTGTATGGATGGCCTCTGTCAACATGTTTTTATGTTTGAGTCATGAGACTCCATTCCCATGAGTGATTTGCTATTGAACCAGGATTGAATGCCTGACTCAGGGCAGGCCAAATCTGTACTCTTGCCAATGGCCTTTTGGATTCTTGGGAAGGAATATGAATTATAAAACCCAGAAACAGAGCTGGGAGCTGAGTCACCACGGTGGGGCTATGGCTTGGAGCTGACCTCATTCCCTCCCTTACTGCAGCCCAGTTGTTCTGCTTTTCCTTGGATTCCATGACAGCCAAATTCTTTCCAGAAATCCCCTCTAACCTAAACTAATTGAGAAGGTTCCTCTTTGTAATGAGAAGGACATTGCCTAGGATAGTCACTTTGTTAACCCCCGATTCTGCTTGAAATCAAGCAGTCATTCATCATTTGCTTAAACCTCATCAAGATAATAACCTCACGCCTCTCATTGCTACTCCACATTGGAGAGCTCCACTTCTGAGAAGGTTCTTTTTTGATTTTGCATCAAAAAGTGTTTTGCTTTGATCCATCCCAGTTTTGCCATTCTGGGCCACTCTGAATGGGTCTCATCTCATATGTATATCTTTGTTGTCCTTTTTCCTACTTACCAAAGTAATACTTGCCCATTAGTTTTAAAAAGTCAAATCTTAAAACTTATAGAAATGGTTTAATCCCTTTTCCACATGACAATCCATCAAGTATTTGAAGATGATGCCCATCCAGGCTTCCCTTCTCTGAGCCAGGCACCCTTAGTTCTTTCAGCTGTTCCTCACATAACACATAGCAGGGTTTCAAAATTTGCTCCAGACCTGATTCGAAGCTGTTCTGAATTTGTGTGCAGACAGTGCATGAGTCAAGAGCAAGTCGAAGATGAAGCCAGAACACAGCATGGTAAATATGATCTCATGGGTGGAACCAAGATGCTGTGATGAGACTAAAGATTGGATATGGTCTTAGGAGGATATTTGAAAGAGGCAGACTTATTAGGAAGGGTGTTTTGCTTTGTTGTTTGTTTTGTTTGAGATGGGGCCTCTGTTGCCTGGGCTGCTGTGCAGTAGTGCAAAAATCCTGGCTTGCTGCAGCCTGGACCTCCTGTGCTCAAGGGGTCCTCCCACCTCAGCCTCCCACCTCAGCCTCCCAAGTAGCTGAGACTACAGGTGTGTGCCACCATGCCCGGCTAATTTTTTTTTTTTTTTTTTTTTTTAGAGATGGCGGGGACTCTCTCTATGTTGCCCAGGCTGGTCGTGAACTCCTGGCCTCAAGTGATTCACCCATCTCTGCCTCCCAAAGTGCTTGGATTACAGGTTTGAGCCACTGTGCCCAGCCTTAGGAAGGGTGTTAAGAAGCTACATGCCTGCTTCAGAAATCCTCAAATCCGAGGGCTTGCATGTTGAGGGTATAATTTGAAGAGCAGTTGTCATTTAGGAGAGAATGAGAGAAAGTCCTGGCCTGGATCATAAAGGCACTATCTCTAGGACACAGCAGGAATGGGGTGGGAAGGACTTATCTACAGGGGTATCCTAATTGCCCACCACCAAGGAGTGCAACAAGTTCCTACCTTGCCTGGAGGTTGCTTTCCATTTCCTGAGTGAGAGAAACTGCAGCTTTGGATGAAGTTCTGACAAAGATATGGAATGGTGGAATGGGGACAATTTGCCAACAGAGACTTTGTCACTGGCAGGGATGGGGAGGCAGCACAGCCAGGCGATTGTCCCACACTTGAGAATAAAGCCATTTAGGAAAGAGACTCTGCAAGGAAAGGCAGCGCTTGGATTGAACCCTGTCTCTGCTGGGCAAAATATCCTAATGAGGAAGGAAAGGCAGAGGCAACAAAAGAAATCAACGTGGCTATGAGTGAATAGCAAGGATCTCATTCATAAACTCAAAATTTTAAAATATCAGGCACCAACATCAGGCTGAAGAACACTTGACCCGTGTAGAAAGACAGCTGGCTGTCCTCCAGTCGCCAGTCTCCTTTTTTTTTTTTTTTTTTTTTTTAGTAAAAACTGACAATCCAGCTGGGCATGTGGCCACTTACAATAAAAACTACATTTCTCAGCTAGGCGCGGTAGCTCAGGCCTGTAATCCCAACACTTTGGGAGGCTGAGGTGGGAAGAGTTCAAGATCAGCCTGTGCAACATAGTGAGACCCTGTCTCCATAAAAAATAAAAAATTAGCTGGGCATGACGGTGTGTGCAAGCAGTCCTAGATACTCACGAGGTTGAGGTGGGAGGATCACTTGAGCCTGGGAGATTGAGACTGCAGTAAGCTGATAGCACCACTGCACTCCAGCCTGGGTGACAAGAGTGACTCTGTCTTAAAAGAAAAAGAAAAAGGACTACATTTCTCAACCTTCCTGGGTTAGGGGTGGCCATGGTCTGGCCAGTGGGGTGTGAGCAGAAGTCCAGTAGGCAGCCTCCCATCATGCCCTTGGAAGAGGGTTCTGTTGACTTTTTCTTAAGGGTCAGATAGTAAATATTTCAGCTTTCGTGGGCCATATTGCCGTGTTACGACTACTCAACTCTGCACTTGTAGTTGAAAGCAGCCATAGACAAACAGAGTGGCTGTGTTCCGATAAAGCCTGTTTACAAAAACAGGAGGCCAACCTGCAGGCTGTGGTTGCTGACCCCTGCCTTAGATAAATGGGGGCATCCCACACGTTCTTGGTATATTTCACATTTTTGCTCCATGCTAGTTGGAATGCAGATGGGAAGGTGAGCAAGCTTGGACCATGAAGACAAAGGCAACACCCGAGAGATGGAGCAGCTTCAAGTTGAAGGGAGCCTGAGGCCGTGGCTCGCCTCTGTAGTCCCAGCACTTTGGAAGGCCAAGGTGGGCAGATCTCTTGAGCCCTGGAGTTTGAGACCAGCCTGGGCAAAATGGTGAAACCCCTTCGAGAAAAATTAGCTGGGAATGGTGGTGGGCACCTGTAGTCCCAGCTGCTTGGGAGGCTGAGACAGGCTTGAGCCTGGGAGGTGGAGGCTACAGTGAGCCATGACCCACTGCACTCCAGCTCAGGTGACAGAGCGAGACCCTGTCTTAAAAAAAAATAATTAAAAAAAAAAAAAAGAAGGAGTCTGGGGTCCTGATGTCTTTGCAGAGCAAGACTGCCACGACAGCACAAACTTTATGTGAGAGGGGAATAAGTTTCTATCTCCTTTATGTTATTATTTGGGATCTCTTATATGAGCCTGCTAGTAGACAGGAAGAATAAGATAGGTGGCAAGAAGGAGCAGATTTGCCTCTTTCCTGCGGGGATCCTGATGAACAAATGGGAACAAGCTATTATTAACAAAGTGCCCATCATCCCTGCCTGGCACTCCTGGTTCTCTGGTAACATGGGGCTGGTACATTCACCTGGAGTCCTAAATGGGCCCGCTCCTTCTGACAAAGTCTAAATCTGAAACATACCTCCCACTGGCCACCAAGACTTCAGAGAAAAAAGAGAGACTCCTGATACATATCCGAGGGGAAGTGGAAAGAGAGCCAGATGGCCAAACTGCAAAGTTTTCCAATTTAGCTTCATGATGGGAAAACACCAGAGACAGAAGGCAAGGCGAGGCAAGGGAGGCTCACAGCAGTTTCCAGCCTCAGGCTTACAGAAGCAGGAGTCGGCAGAGGTCCATGTGCTGTGTATAACCTTTCAACACACAGTGACCTGATCCACTGGTAAGTGTGGCCCAGTCTACCCACTAAGATCCGTGTTCCCTCCCCTTGAAGAACAGCAAGGAACTAGAACAGGAGCTAGAAGAAGGACAGGCTTCTCAGGTCCCCATCCTGCTCCCCTCCCACCTGCCAAACACTGCAAATTATGTTGAGAGCAAAAAAGAACAAGGAAGAGATGATCCCACAAGGACTGCTTGGAGCAGTTTTCTCATCCTCACACAGGCTGTGTGGCTATCTGCTCTCTATACAGACATCTTTCCTATCTTTCCAAGGTGGGACTCATTTCTCATCTACAAGTAAGAAGGCAGTAACCCACAGATCAAGACTGCCAACCAGATGGACACACGAAATGCTGCTACACACTCTCCTACACGTCAGTAAATTCCTTGCATCCAATGACTCCATGTGCTTCAGTGACGGACCATGAGTGAGCCTGACCAGGCTGGAGATGCCACCACGCAGGTTACTTCCTCCACTCAGCCCCAACTGACAAAGGACACATTTTTATCCCAGCAAAACTTCTGTTTTTCTTTTTCCAAGAAAACAGAAAAGTCGCCGGGCACGGTGGCTTACGCCTGTAATCCCAGCACTTTGGGAGGCCGAGGCAGGAGAATCGCTTGAGCCCGGGAGTTTGAGACCAGCCTGGGCAACATGGTGAAACCAAGTCTCTACAAAAAAATACAAAAAAATTAGCCAGGTGTCGTGGTGCACGTCTGTAGTCCCAGCCACTCCTGGGAGGTCGAGGCTGCAGTGAGCTGTGATCGTGCCACTGCACTCCAGCCTGGAGAACAGAGTGAGACCCCGTCTCAAAAAATAAAAAAAATTTTTAATAATAAAGTATAAAGAAAAGTTATTTAAAGATAGAAAATTCACTTTATAAACAAAAGATTGCTTTTATCCCTTGAAACTTCCTTCCTCAATAAGATTCTTTTCTACTTTTAGAGGAGTCCATTGTTTATATTACCAAACTATTCTTTTCAATGCCATCGCATCAATTAGAAGACAAATAAGCTCCATCAAAGCATACAGCTTTCAAGGGATCTTTTCTTGGGCAGTGCCCAGAGGGCAGATATTTCTAATCTCTAATCCTTTTTGGATCTGGGGCATGTCATTATTTCAGTGTCAGCTGCTCTGAGCCAGAGTGTGGCCCGATGCTGCAGTCTGGGACCAGGGTCCTCCAGGTAGGCCCAGAACCCAGAGGTGAGAAAGTCTAATGGCTGGTATGGAAAAGACAGGGCCTCCTTCTGAAAAGTTCCGTAACTCGGTGAATCATCTTCAATGACTTAAACTGTTAGGAGTCTCAGGAAGTTCATGTCAAGAGCTCTCAACAGCTGGTGGGTTTTATCACTTAGAGGTGTGTCACTGTAATTAATTGATTCCTTTATAACAGTGGAAAGCCTGAGCCAGGTGGCTCACACCTGTAATCCCAGCACTTTGGGAGACTGAGGCTGGAAGATTGCTTTGAGCCCATGAGTTCAAGACCGGCCTGGGCAAGATAGCGAGACCTTGTCTCCACTAAAAATTTAAAAATTAGCCCAGCATGGTGACAAGCACCTGCAGTCCTAGGAGTCTGAGACAGGAGGATTGCTTGAGCTCAGGAATGTGAGGCTACAGTGAGCTGTGATCACACCACTGCACTCCAGCCTGGGTGACAGAGCAAGATGCAGTTTCAAAAATAAATAAGAAAAGTAGAAAAATATAATAGTGAAAGTACTGGAGTTTATGAATGATTTACCTCATTTGTAAAAAATGTATAAATCAGAGGGGTATATTACTTAGGATTCTTTTGGTTGCAAATGACAGACAACAAATCAAATAGCTTAGGAGAAGAGGAATGTATGGGCACCAGGAGGGATGAGGGTGTAGCTGCAGGCAGCTGGGCCTGGGGACTTCATGACTCTAGGGCTCTGCCTACCGCTGAGTTCCTGCTTTTGTTGTGTTTGTGTCTTCCTGCACTGTGACCTCCTTCTACTGAATTGGATTTCTCCATAAGACTGGACCATGGCCATCAGAAAATCATGGGTTCATATATTAGCTTGTTTTCCTGATAGCTAGTTGTGGCAAAGAAAGCAAACCTCCAAGAATGTGATTGATCTGTCAGGGACGTGTGCCCTCCTCCAGACCCATTGTTGAGGCCTAGAAAATGGGATAGGGTGATCAGTGTGGCCTGGCTCTTCTGCCCACCCCTGAAGCAATCACTGTGACCAGGGAGGTAGAAGCTGGCAGCTCCTATTTGAACAGAAAGGGAAGGAGGAGCAGTTTCCCACGAGATCGGGGGTGTTGTTTCCTGATGAAAGCAACCATTCTTTCCATTTATCTATAAAGATTTCAAATGATAGCATATCTTCAAAAATCTGAGATAATAGAAATAATGGAAATGTAGCGCTTGAAATAATTTAGGGAAAAAGGGACTAACGTTTTCTGAATGCTTATTGTGAGACAAGTTATTTGCATATGCTGTCCGTGTAATCCTTAAAAACAAACAAACTATGTGAGGTAGATATTATTATCCCCATTTTACCAACAAGGCAACTGAGACGTGGAGAAGTGAAGTGGTTTGCTCAAGGGCACACAGTTCAGCGGCTGAGCCAGGTTTTGAACCCAGTTCTGTTTGGTTTTAATGCCAGATACTTAACCATTGTAGCACGTTGGCTTCCTCATTGATCTGCCTAGTAAACAGGTATATGATATGTGTAAAATACTTTACATTATTTTTATTTTAATTAATAATACTGAGTCATTGTGGTATTTTTATGACATGGCTGCAAATTTTCTAACACTCCTCCCATGAAGCAGTCAGATCTATGTCCTCTCCCTGTTAATCTGGGCAGGCTTGTGACTGCTTTGAGAAAGACGGCATGGTAGGAATGATGCCATGTGACTTCTGAGGCTGGGTCATGAAAGCCCAGGCAGTTTTGGTCTTGTTCGCTGGGACACTCACTCTTAGCACTCTGACCCACCACAAAGAAAGAGTTCTCCCTGCTCTGTGGCTGCCACGCTGTGAGGAACCCAAGTCATCTGGAGGAGTAACATGTAGGCACCAGGTCAACTGTCCCAGCTGAGCCCAGCCTGCAAGTCATCATAGCCCAAGTGCCAGACACGAGCGAAAAAGCCTCTGGGTGGTTCCAGCCCACAGCCATTCGAATCTTCCCCACTGAGGCCTCAGACATCATGGAACTGAGACAAGCCATCCCCTTTGGTGCCCATCTAAATTCCTGAGACAGTGAATCCGAGAGCATAATGGATGGTAGTGGTTTTATGCAACGGGTTTGGGATGTTTATTCCATAGCAACAGATAACTGGAAGAGCCTCAGAACAGCAATCAAAGATGTCTGACCGTGAAGCATCTGGAATACAAGAAGATGAAACTGAGGAACGCTTTGCATCAGTAAAGTAGCAAAGTCATGATTTTTCCCAATACAGAAGCTCTTGGAACACTCGCGCTGCAGTCTCCCTTCTTCCACCAGGTGGGGTGGATGCATTGGTGGCTGCCTCCACAGCAGTTCCTCACGGAGCAGTGGAAGACTGGGTTTCTTTGGTTCAGCGGGACTGTGGCTGACCCCACCCCAGCTGGGATCCCTGGCTGCGAGGCTGCAGAGCACAGAGCCCCAGGAGGGCTTCGTTTTGGCTGCTGCTGGGAGCCTCTCCCTTTTGTGGGGGAGGTCGGTGCCTCTGAAGGAGGATAGAATCTGAAAACATATTCTCCTGGCAGGCTCTACCATCCCACTGCACTCCTATCAGGGTTGTGGACAGGAGGAGTCACTCTCTGTGTAATGCAGCCCCCTAGGTGCGGCTCAATTTTCCCTCCCATTGGACCTGAGGTAGGGGCATTGACCCCAGCCTTCCTGATCAAGGGATAGGATCCACAGCGAACCCCCAACTTCCTCCTTCCCTCTCCACATTTCCTTTTTCCCTTCCATTCAAATCAAAGTACAACAGATACTTGATTTTTAAAGTCAAATGGTACCATAGTTATATCAGCAACAATAACAGGAAAACATTTCGGTAATTCCCTCCCCATCCCTGACTTCTCCCCTTCAAACTCTTTCAGTCATTTCTGTTACTTACATCCATATTTCTAAGTAATGCATCCATACTGCTATTTTCTCAAATTAGTGATTTTAGATAGTGCCTTTTTACTCCCCATTACAGAAGATGAAGCATTAACTCTTTCATACCACCCCATATTCCATTTGTCCTCCCTTTCTCCTCCCAACATGGTAATATACAACTTTCAGAAAAAGCTGTATTCCATTAATGTGTTTCTGTCTGATTATGGCTATAAGACTTGTGCATTGGTGAGCCATGGAGCATATTATCATTACATTTCCTATCTTGCGCATTTTTCTCTCTCCCTTCCTTCCTTCCTTCCTTCTTTCTCTTCCTTCCTTCCTTTCTTTCTTTCTTTCTTTCTTTCCTTCTTTCTTTCTTTCTTTCTTTGTTTCTCTTTCCTTTTTCTTTCGACAGGGTCTCACTTTGTCACCCAGGCTGGAGTGCAGTGGCACAATCATGGCTCACTGCAGCCTCAACCTCCCAGGCTCAAGAGATCCTCCCACCTCAGCCTCCTGAGTAGCTGGGACTACAGGCGCACACCACCACACCTGACTAATTTTTACTTTTTTTTTTTTTTTTTTAATAGAGATAAGGTCTTCCTGTGTTGCTAAGGCTGATTTCAAACTTCTGAGCTCAAGCAATTTTCCTGCCATGGCCTCCCAAAGTGCTGGGATTACAGACGTGAGCTACTGCACCTGGCCTCTTGCACATCTTGTTCCTTCTGAACATATCACCATAATTCTTCTAATTTAAGACAGTAAGATGTGCCATTTTTTATGTACCACTAAGAAAGAACACTCCCAACTAAACTGTGACACTCCATTGTTTGTAGGATGCATCTCCATATCAGAAATGTTAAAATGTGAAAAATTTATGCATTTTCAAATCCATATACCTTGTTTTTTTGTTTTTGTTGCTTAGATTTCTTTTTAACTGTCATTATTTCTTCCCAAATTTGTTAAGAAAATTATTTTTAATTTTTAAACAACTTTATTGACATATAATGATATACTATAAAATTACCCTATAGTGTAAAATTCAATGGTTTTTAGTATATTTAGTTGTACAGCCCATCACCAGAATCTATTTAAGAATATTGTCATCACCCGAGAAGTCATTCCCCAACTCCATTCTTTTGCACGTAGTTTTTTGTTTGTTTGTTTTGTTTTGTTTTGTTTTTTGAGACAGAGTCTCACTCTGTTGCCCAGACTGGAGTGCAGTGGCGCAGTCTCCACTCACTGCAACCTCTGCCTCCTGGGTTCAAGCGATTCTTGTGCCTCAGCCTCCTGAGTGGCTGGGAGTACAGGCGAACGCCACCACGCCCAGCTAATTTTTGTATTTTTAGTAAAGACAGCATTTTGCCACATTGGCCAGGCTGGTCTCAAACTCCTGGCCTCAAGTGATCCACCCATCTATGCCTCCCAAATTTCTGGGATTACAGGCATGAGCCACCATGCCTGGCCGACAACACTATTCTCTCTGATTGAATTGTTTTGGCACCGTTGTCAAAAATCAATTGACCATAATATGAGGGTTTATTTTTGAGCTCTTAATTCTATTCCATTTATCTGTAGTCTATCCTCATGCCACTACCACACTATTTTGATTACTGTAGCTTTGTAGGAAGGTTTGGAATCAGGAAGTATGAGTCTTCCATCTTTGTTATTCTTTTTAAAGATTGTTTAAGCTATTCTAGTTCCCTTGCATTTCCATATGAATTTTAAAATCACCTCATCAATTTCTGCAAAAAACCCAGCTGAGATTTTGATAGAGATTGCATTGAATATGTAGATCAATTTGAGGGGTACATCCAGTTTAAAATATTAAGTCCTCTGATCCATGAACATGGGATGCCTCTCCGTTTGCTTAGATCTTCTTTAATTTCTTTCAACAATGTTTTGTAGTTTTCATTGTACAAGTCTTGCACTTCATTTATTAAATTTATTCCTAAGTACTTAGAATTTCTGAAGAAAACAGAATTGTTTTCTTCATTTTGTCATTGGATTGCCCATTGTAGAAATATACTTGATTTTTGTATATTGGTCTTATATCCAGAGAAAATTGTTTATATATATAAATCCGCAAGCTCTGAGAGCTATTTTCTATAAGGTCCTATATCTGATTCCCTCTTTTCCCGAGATGTTCCTTCTGGAACCCTGTGTTATCTTATTCCACCTGGTTCTCTTCAGGCCTGCTGCTGCTCAGCTGTCACCCTGGGACTTGCTTACACCTCTCTTGGGTGGATGTCCTATTTTTGGAACCCTTGTCTTTCTCTTTCTTGGGTTATTCCCTCATTTTGGTAGAACACCTGAGAAAGTATACACAAGAGATCAAATTTTGTGAAAAATTGCATATCTGAAAATGTCTTTATTCTACCATCACACTTGGTTAATAGCTTAGTAGGGAATATAATCTAGGTTTGGAAATCACTTCCTCTTACAGTTTTTTGTTTGTTTGTTTGTTTGTTTGAGGCAGGGTCTCATTCTATTACCCAGCCTGGAGTACAGTGGTGCAACCGTAGCTTACTGAAGCTTTGGTCTCTCAGACTCAAGCCATCCTCCCACCTCAGCCTCCCAAATAGCTGGGACTACAGGAAGGCACCACCAAACCTGGTTAATTTTAAAATTTCTTTTATAGAGATGAGATATCATTATGTTGCCCAGGATGGTCTCAAAATTTTTTTTATTTTATTTTTATTTTTTGAGATGGGGTCTTGCTGGGCATGGTGGCTCATGCCTGTAATCCCAGCACTTTGAGAGGCTAAGGTGGGTGGATCACTTGAGGCCAAGAGTTCAAGACCAGCTTGGCCAACATGGTGAAACCTCATCTCTACTAAAAATACAAAAATTAGCAGGGTTGAGTGGTGCACACCTGTAGTCCTAGCTACTCGGGAGGCTGAGGCAGGAGAATCGTTTGAACCCAGGAGGTGGGGGTTGCAGTGAGCCGAGATTGCGCCATTGCACTCCAGCCTGGGTGACAGAGTGAGGCTTCATCTCAAAAAAAAAAAAAAAAAAAAAAGAGATGAGGTCTCACTCTGTCACCCAGGCTGGAGTGCAGTGGCATGATCACAGCTCATTGCAGCCTCGACCATCCCAGGCCTAGGTGATCCTCCCACCTCTGCCTCCCAAGTAGCTGGGATTACAGGCCTTTGCCACCATGCCCAGCTAATTTTTGTATTTTTTATAGAGATGGGGTTTTGCCATGTTGGCCAGGCTGGTCTCAAACTCCTGGCCTCAAGTGATCTGCCCACCTCGGTCTTCCAAAGTGCTGGGATTACAGGCATGAGCCACCATGACCAGTCAGGGAAGTTTTATATCCTTTCTTTGTTAATTTTCTCTCTTTCATTTTCTCTATTTTCTCTTTCTGAAACTCCTTTTTTTTTTGTAATGTTAGACCCTCCGAATTTATCTTCGAATTTTTTTACCTCTCTTCTCTTATTGTTCTTTCTTTATAATTTTGTTTGCTTTCTGAAAATTGTCCTTAAGCTTGTCTTCCAACTTTTCTATCAACTTGTTTCCTGCTATCATAATTTTAACTTTCCAAAGCTCTTTCCTCATGGTTGGGTTTTCTTTGTTTCTAATATGCCCTTCCTGTTTCATGTGAGTAATATCATTTCCTGTGTCTCTGAGAATATTAATAGTTTCAAGGCATTTTTCTTTGTCCATGTGCATTGTCTCTGGACCCTCCATTCCTTTTTGTTTTGTTTGTTTTGATCTCTGTCTTCCATATTAGATTCTGTCCTCAAATCTATGGTGATCCTTTGTTTTACGTTCATACGTAACAATGAGTCCCTGAAGAGTTGCTTAAACACTGAGGAGTTGGGGAGGGATAAGGCTTATCAACTAGTGTATCTTACTGTGAGATAACTGGGCTGAGACCATCTATTTCAATGGGGGGAACTCTTGGATTTCAGTACCTATAAATCTATTTTCTGGGGTCATGATATTTCTCCAGAGAAGAATCTTCCAGTCTCCTGCCTGGAGAGGGCACACATAGGGTAGAGAAAATTCCAGGAATACAGTGGCACAAAGAGGGAGGAGGTGGTGCTGAACATTCAGTTTATAAACTCTCCCGTAATCTTTCTTTAAAATACAGAACATTTTCCACTCCCCTGTGCCTGCCTGCTTTTTTTTTTTTTTTTTTTTTTTTTTTTTTTTTTTTTTTTTTTTTGAGACAAGGTCTTGCTCTGTCGCCCAGGCTGGAGTACAGTGGCGCAATCTCAGCTCACTGCAACCTCCGCCCCTGCTGAATTCAAGAGATTCTCCTGCCTCAGCCTCCCAAGTAACTTGGATTATGGGCATGTGCCACCATGCCCGGCTAATTTTTGCATTTTTAGTAGAAACAGGGTTGCACTATGTTGCCCAGGCTGGCCTCGAACCCCTGTACTCAAGCGATCCACCTGACTCGGCCGGCCAAAGTGCTGGGATTACAGGCATGATCCACTGTGCCTGGCCTGTGCCTGCTTTTCTGATTCAATATCTCCATAGGATAAAACTCCAGTTTCCTGTCAGAGAAGAAAGAGCCACCTGGATGTGGGTGATGGGCAGGTGGGCCTGGGGCTCTAGGCTTTCAACTCCGCTTCCTGTTTTCAGCCCCACCTTCGCCCTCGCTTTTGCAGTAATAGGTGCCTCCAGTTCCTGAGCTTCACAGTTCAGCTTTATCAGCTCTGCTTCCAAAACTGTGTTAACATTCCTTATCTCTCCTGTTGCTGCTCTCACTCTCTTAGTCCTTATTGCTTTATAAATCTTTTCTTTCTTTCCCCTTTTTTTAGTGGAGTTTTGAGCGACAACAGTGCTAACTACAGGTGCTCTCAATTCAGCATGTTTAACTGGCTGATCCTGAATTGGCTTTGCAGGGACAGAATAGCAGGGTGAGGGAAAGCCTGGGCTTTAGAGCCAGACACATACATGGTTGAGTTCCGGCTCCACTTCTTCACATCCCTGTGTGTCCTCGGGCAAGATAATTTCAGGTTTCTCATCTGTAAAATGAGAATATCACCTCCGAACTCGTAGGGGTGTTGTAAGCATTAACTCTGATAATGCAGGCATTTTTGCCTAGCCTTATCTGAATGCAAGGCCGTGCTCTGAACCATCCAAGCAGCCTGCCTCTTTTGAGAACAGCGTGACTCAGAAAGGGGCTTCTCTTTTCAGCCTGGATTTCAGGATAAAGAAATGCATGGAATAGAGCCGCAGCAACCTCAGGTGACTCATTCTGTGAGTGAGAGAGAATTTTTTTTTTTTTTTTTAGAGACAGGGTATCACTCTGTTGCCCAAGCTGGGGTACAGTGATATAATCATGGCTCACTGTAGCCTCAACCTCCTGGGCTCAAGGGATCTTCCTACCTCAGTCTCCCAAGCAGCTGGGACTACATGTATGTGCCGTCACACCTGGCTAATATTTTATTTTATTTTATTTTTTGTAGAGACGAGGTCTTGCTATGTTGACCAGGCTGGTCTTGAACTCCTGGCCTTAAATGATCCTACTGCCTTGGCTTCCCAAAGTGCTGGGATTACAGGTATGAGCCACTTTGCCTGGCTGAGAGATAAATCTTGATGGTCGTAAGACACTAAGATTCCGAGACTGTTACGGCAGCATCATTTAATGACAGTTAATTAATACAGCAGCAGTTTAAGGTGGTCCAAGTACTCCAAGATGTTGGGTGAGAGAAGCTCATGCCAGGTAAAGTCACTAACTAGGTGAGACAGCCAGGAAGAGTTTGGGATTCACAACGGCAGCACCTACGACAGAGATACTGCCCTTCATCAAACCACTGGGGCAAGATGATTCATTGAAATGTTACCCTGTGCTCATTTGGTTTACATTTGCTCCTCCCCTGGCTCTTTCAAGCAGAGAGTGAGTCCCTTGGTGTTTCCTTGCCTTGGGTATTTCTGGTGGTCAGAGCATAAAAGCTATCGGAAGTTGGTGGGTCTTTCTGTCTTTTGCAATAATCTTGACCTAAATTTTTTTTTAAATTTCTTAATTATTTTTAGAGACAGGGTCTCACTCTGCCACCCAGGCTGGAGTGCAATGGTGTGATCATAGCTCACTGAAGCCTCCAACTCCTGAGCTCAGGTGATCCTCCCGCCTAAGCCTCCAGAGTAGCTGAGACTACAAGTGCTCACCACCATGCCCGGCTAATTTTTCTTTTTTGTAGAGACAGAGATCTCGCTATGTTGCCCAGGCTTGTCTCGAACTCCTGGCCTCAGGTGATCTTCCCTTCTCAGCCTCTCAAAGTATTAGGATTATAGGTGTGAGCCACTGCACCCAGCCTTCGTTGACTCTTTATAGAGACTCTGTAAGGTGTCCTGGAAAGAGAAGAAAGAAAGGGTGGGCCTATGATTTTTTGTTTTTTGAGATAGAGTCTTGCTCCGTCGCCCAGGCTGGAGTATGGTGACATGATCAGGGCTCACTGCAACCTCCATCTCCTGGGCTCGGGTGATCCTTCCACCTCAGCCTCTGGAGTAGCTGGAACTATAGGTGCATGCCACCATGCCTGGCCAATGTTTTGTATTTTTAGTAGAGATGGGGTTTCACCATGTTGCCCAGGCTGGTCTCAAACTCCTAGTGCTGGGATTACAGATGTGAGTCACTGCACCAGGCCAAGGGTGGGCCTTTGAGAGCAGGAAGAAGGGAGAGGAAAAGATTTTTACCCCAGAAGGGAAAGGGGCAGAGTGTGACTAGGGCTGGGGGTAGGGAGGAAAGGTCTCAAACCTTGACTCTAGGCAGTGTCCAAAGGTGACAAGGCCTTAGAGGACATGGCTGCCTGGTACACTCAGGGAGAGTGGATCTGAGCACAGAGCTTTCGCCCCTCCCTCACAATTCCCACATTCCAAGGGTGACTCCAAATCAGCAGAGCCACCAAGCCTGAGGTGCCACAAGGCTGGGATGATGGATGTTCTGCATTTGCTAGTGTGACCAGTGGAGCCAGCCTGACGCCTCAGCACTGCCTAAGACCCTGGGACCTTGGCAAAATCTTGAGAATGGGGGAGGGAGACTCAACGATATGCCTGAGATTGAATTTCTTGCCAGCTCAGTGGGATAGTGGCTTAGAGTCAGATTTAAATTGAATTAGAAAAAATCAAGAAACAGGCCAAACCACTCCAGCCTTGCAATCCCTCGGGCTATCCCTAGCCACACCCCTTACTCTCATGCTCACCAACAAGCAGTGCCTACCACCACTGGATGCCCCATGTGACCCATAGCTGAGGATCTTTATACACCCTCTCCCCAGGAGTGGGCATCCACTTGTGTTTCCCTGGACAGGGAGCTTCCAATCTTCCATCCTGAGGTCCTGCTAGAATGGGCTGTTAGAATATTCCCTCACTAGATAGAGGGGTGGGGAAGCAGGAGTCCAGTTTCAGAAGCAGGGAAGGGACTACAGTCATAGCGAGTGGTGGACACGTGGCGGAGGGTGGGACACCCTTTCACAAAGTGGCCCATCACACCACAACACAGTATGGGACAGGGCTGGCTTCTCTTCAGCTCTGGCATGGCCAGGGAGGGTACCTACCTGGGGTCCAGCTGCCCCCCCGAGCCTGTCTATCAGCCATTGTACACCAGGCCAGTCCATGATGGGGTTCACCCAGGATGAGACCTGGACAGCAGCTGAGCCATGCAGAGCAAGTGGGTGGTTAAGAGGCAGATGGTCCAGTTGGTGCTTTCAGGCAAAGTGCCAGCTCCTCATCATGGCTCATGAGGATGCTTAGATCCAGCCCCTGATGACCCCCTATTTCACCTCTAGCCATTTCCTAGCACAGCGCCTCCTCTGTCCTAGCTCCAGCCTCACTGAGCTGCTTTCAGTCCCTTGAAGGAGTTGCACTCTCCTTCCTCTCGGCTCTTCCACAGGCTGCTCCAGACGCTTGACCACTCCTTTCTTTCATGTACCTAATTCCTACTCATCCCTCAGGACCCAATGTGGCTGTCTTCTCTAGGAAGCCATCTGAACTTATAAGTTGAGTTAGGAGTCTGTTCTGGACCTCCCACAGCACCCTGATTCTCCTGTCTTGGCCCCTGTCATACCTTGTGAAGTCTTGTTTAATCATCTATCTCATACATGTCAGTATGCTTCTGGGGGAAGGAAATGTGTCCATCTTGTTTAAAACAGTATCTTTAGGGCTTGATGTCTAGTGAGGGAGGAAGGGAAGGGGAAGGAAACGATAAGGGCATGGGAAGGAAGGATGGAAGGAAGGAGGGAAGGAAGAAGAAAAGAAGAGAAACAGGGAAGGAGGCAAGGAAGACATTGAAGGAAGATTGCCCACTCCTTTCAGGGCACTCATTGCCCCAACAGATCTTCCCAGCAGGAGCAGCTGCACAGAGATCACCTATTCCTTCCTCTCACTCAGTAGGAGACATGCTCTTTATTGGTTAGAATGATTGACATTACCCAATATCAATTGCAAGTAACAGTGCATTCAATAGAAAATGGTTTACATGATGTGAGATTTTTAATATCTCACATAGTAGCAACTCCAGGGGTAAGTGGCTCCAGGGTTAATCCAGGCATCAATGATGGTACCAGGGACCCTGGCTCTTGCCACCTCTCTGCTCTGTTATTTTGATTTTATCCTTGGATTGACCCCTTGTGGTCACAAGATGGCTGCTGAAGTTCTGGACATTACACCCAGACAGGGCCATGACTAGTAGAAAAGGCTTTTCCTCCCATGCATTCATTAGATGGGAAGAATCTTTCCACAGAAGCCCCAGCAGATATTTCTTTCTATCCTGGGATTAAGCCAGAGGCCCATGCTGTAGCTGCAAGGGAGGCTGGAAAAGCAAGTGCGTCTGCAGCTGGAAGCAGACTGCCAACATAGGAGCAGGAGGGAATGATTGATGCTTCCCTCTTTGTCTTACCTGTAAGGCTTGAGACTTCCTTGCCTTTGAAGATCCTCAGTATGGAATGCCAGTGCTTGGACCTTGATATGGTTTGGCTGTGTCCCCACACCCAAATCTCATCTTGAATTATAGTTCCCATAACCCCACGTGTCATGGGAGGGACCTGGTGGAAGGTAATTGAGTATTGGGGGTGGTTACCCCCATGCTGTTCTCATGATAGTGAGTTGAGTGAGTTCTCACAAAATCTGATGGTTTTATAAAGGGCCTTTCCCCCTTTGCTTGGCACTTCTCCTTCCTCCCACCATGTACAGAAAAATGTGTTTGCTTCCCCTTCTGCCATGATTGTAAGTTTCCTGAGGCCTCCCCAGCCCTGCAGAACTGTGAGTCAATTAAACCTCTTCCCTTTATAAATTACCCAGTCTCAAGTATTTCTTCATAGCAGTATGAGAATGGACTAATACAGACCTGCAAGGCAGTTTTTTGGTGGCAATACATGGAAGTCTCCTCTCTGGATTTAGGCTGGAGACTGCTTGTTGATTCCAATAGCCATTTTCCCTTCTTTTCTTATAAGTGTATAGTTGGATATATGGCCACCCAGAATAAAATCAACATGTCCTGGCCTCCTTTGCGGTGGATGGGGGCACATAACTAAGTTTTGGCCAATGAGATGAAAGCAACATGCTATATAACTTCCAAAGTATACCTAAGAGAGGGCCATGCACTTCTTCTAGGATGACCAACTTGTCCTGGTTTGCCTGAGACTTTACTGGTTTTAGCACTAAGAGTCCTGTATCCTAGGAAATCTCTCGGTCCTGGGCAAGCCAGGATAGTTGGTCACATTCTCCATCCCTTCCTCTTTCCTTCTGGCTAGAATGTAAGTGTGATAGAGGCCATTGTGGAGCCCCAAGTGGAAGCCACATACTGAGGATCTCACAAGATTAGGCTGTTAAGCTGGAGGGAGGCGGGGAGGGGGGGGAAATATTAGGCTGCTGGAATGGTGCAGGCACATTGATTTTAGGTTACTCAAATTGTTTCTATAGAGAGGGGTCCTGAGCCTAGATCTCTGATTAATCCCTTTAGGTGTCAGTGATCTGAGAGAAAAACAAACTTCTATGTTGTTGGTATTTTTTAAATGTAATTTTATTCATTTATTTATTTTTGAGACAGAGTCTTGCTCTGTCACCCACACTGAAGTGCAGTGGTGCAGTCTTGGCTCCCTGCAACCTCCACCTCCCAGGTTGAAGCGATTCTTCTGCCTCAGCCTCCTGAGTAGCTGGGATTACAGATGCCCACCACCATGCCCAGCTAATTTTTGTATTTTTAGTTTCACCATGTTGGCCAGGCTGGTCTTGAAATCCTGACCTCAAGTGATCTGCCCGCCTCAGCCTCCCAAAGTGCTGGGATTACAGGTGTGAGCCACTGTGCCCAGCTTATTTATTTTTTCTTTAGAGTCAAAGTCTTGCTCTGTCACTCAGGCTGGTGTGTGCAATGGCATGATCACAGGTCACTGCAGCCTCGAATTTCTGGGCTCAAGCAGTCCTCCTGGGGGTCTTGCTATGTTGCCTAGGCTGGTCTTGAGCTCCTGGTTTCAAGCAATCCACCTGAATTAGTCTGTTTTCATGCTGCTGCTAAAGACTTACCTGAGACTGGGCAATTTACAAAAGAAAGAGGTTTAAAGGATTTACAGTTCATATGGCTGGGGAGGCCTCACAATCATGGCAGAAGGTGAAAGGCACATCTCACATGGCAGCAGACAAGAGAAGAGAGCTTGTGCAGGGAAACTCCTTTCTAAAACCATCAGATCGTGTGAGTCTTATTCACTATCACGAGAACAGCACAGGAAAGACCTGCCCCATGATTCAATTACCTCCCACCAGGTCCCTCCCACAACGTGTGGGAATTCAAGATGAGATTTGGGTGGGGACACAACCAAACCATATCACCACCTGTCTCAACCTCTTGAGCACCTGGGACTACAGGAACATGCCACCATGCCCAGCTAAGTTTTTTATTTTTATTTTTTTTAAGAGATGGGGGGTCTTGCTATGTTGCCCAGGTTGGTCTTGAACTGCTAGTTTCAAGTGATCCTCCTGCCTCAGCCTCCTGAGTAGCTGGGATTATAGGCATGAGCCACCATACCCAGCCCTTCTATGTCATTTTAGCTTCTGTTATTTTGGATTATCTACGACCTGCAGCTGCAGCAAATCCTAACAGATAGAGAAACAGGTCTAAAGCCTTGGAGGATGCTGGGGTGTTGGAGATCCGCTTTGTTACGTTGCTACTTGTGCACATTGGGGAGCAGGTGTTAGTCCTGAAAAGTTAAATTGTTTTCCACACAGGTGCTTCAGGGGCTGCCTTGGGGGATGAGTGGCTGACATTATGGTAAACTTTCTACCCCCCACCTCACCAAAGGCTTCAGCCTGAGTGGTTCCTGCTCTCGCTTCTTTTAGCAAAAGGGTTTCCTTCCTAAAAAACAATTTGAAAGCCACTGGTTCTTAAAGGAATAGTGATGGCCTGACCCCCTGTCATGCTCTGACCCTCCCCTCCCAGCTATTTTGCCACTTCTTGCCAATTTACATATGAACTGCACAAATTCATTCAGACACAGACATAATAGTGAACTTAGAAACCAAAAAGAAACAGGAAGTTAAATCCTAGAAAAAGTTGCATCAGCCTAAATCCCTAGGAGAGACTTGGCAGCAGACGTTGTCCCTTGTAGCAGCCCCGTATGGGACTTGCTGCTACAGGGACCTCTCTGGGGGCCATCACCTTGGAAAGGGAACCTACGAGGCCCTGGGGTGTTGCATTATGTCCCAGGTGACTGTTGTTTCTAAGAAAGTGTCACTGTTCCTGGAAATACTGGCTTCAGGTGCACCTGTGCAACCCAGGAATTGTCTGGGTTTGTGGGTGAGTCTGAGGGTAGGCTGCCAGGCTAGGGAATGAATATGCAGGCAGGGTTAGGGACAGACGCACTAGACGCACTTCAGAGGCTCGGGCAAAAGAAGGGCTAAGATTTAGTGAATCTTGGAGTCAGGATTTCCTATCTGGTCCACTGTTGGTTGGTATGGAAGATACAAGCAGAGCCCTGTACTTGAGGAATCACTGGGGACCAAGACACCCAGGACAAGGGGCATAGTTTAGGGGATTTCTGAAGCCTGTACAGGTAAGCAGGGCTGGGCTATCTCTCCCAAACTCATCTGGCTAGAACCCATGTGGCCCATCTAACCCTTGAAGAGAGGACTTGTTGTTTCCCATCTCTGCCACTTCCTGGTTGAGCCTCAGTTTCCTCTTCTGCAGCATGGGGTAATAATAAAGCTTGCTTGATGGGTGTTGTGAGGGTGGGATGCAAAAATTCAGTCTGATGCCTGGTTTGGTGTGGCTTAGCTGGTTGTTCTGGCTCAGGGTCTCTCACGCTGCAGTCATCTGAAGGCCTGACTGGGGCTGGAAGATCTACTTCCAAGATGGCTCACTCACAAGGCTGTTGACAGAGGCCTCAGCTCCTCTCTACATGGGCCTCTCCTTAGAGCTGCTTAAGTGTCTTCACGACATGGCAGCTGGCTTCCTCCACAATGGGTGACCCAAGGGAGAGAACAAAGTGGAAGCCACGATGTCTTTTATGGCCTAGCCTTGAAAGTCACATGCTGTCACTTCTGCAGTCTCCTATTGGTTACATGAGCCAACACTTTCTAACATGGGAGGCAAGGCTACCAGGAGGTAGGCAGCATTGGTGCCATCTTGGAGGCTGCTACCACAATGACCTAATTGAGCTGTGGAACCAATCTTGAGAACGATCTGTTGCCTTCTTGTTAAGTGATGTAAGAAGTCCTGCTGTTATGTTACTTGTAACTGAGAACATTCTGATATCTCATCCCCAAAGTTCTTTTTCTTGGTTAAGGTAGCCAGAGTCAGATTGTGTGACTTACAACCAAAGCCCCTGACTGATCCCAGAGAGTAAGCCCAGCCCATCAGCCCGGGTAAGGGGAGAGGGAAAGGAGGATCCTGAGCTGGGGCACCCTCTGGGACACTCACTTTGAACCTGAAAAACCTGACCTGGTCTTCTAGGATCCAAGAACAGGCACTGTGAAGGGAGAGAAAATGTGGCTTTTATATGCACAAATGGTCATGGTTAGTTAAAAAGAAAAAGAAAAATGCTTGTATAGTAATGATATGACTCTGGTTCTGCCAGCTTCTACAGCTGGCTCTGTGGCTGAGTCTCTGCGGAAGGACAGAATCCTTCTCCTTTCTGATTCCCTGCTTAACTTTGGTATTGGACTAGTTCCAGCAGAGATTCCTAGCAACCAGGAGAATTGCTGAGGTTGCCACCACGGGCCAGGAGAGCACCGAATTTATACAAGTCAGGTCTCCTACCAAAGATAGGCCAGAAAATCAGGATTCACTCAGTCCTCCATCGCCTTCATGTGGGCCCTGGCAAGCCTTCACGCTGAAGAAGGAAGAGAAGCCTGTGTGAACTCAGCCCTCTCTGATCTTCTGGATCAGCTGCAGCTGGGAGCACAGTGGCTGGGTTGTCCACAGATGCTGGCATCACCATTGCTGCCAGGTCTGGTAATTATGTGCTGGGAAAGGGAGCACCCTGCCCCCCGACTCGGACTTCTGTAATTTGCTGGATCCCAAGAGCACACATGTAGGGGGCAGACTGCAGGGTCCCAAGCACAACATGCAGAGGGGCAGGCTGCAGGAAATGACCCAGGGTCATCTTCATCCAATACTGTAATCTTTTGTATCTGTGAGAAGCTGTAGGCGGGTGAGACACTGAAGCATTTCTTAGAAACAATAACTATTTAGCAATAATCTCCATCGCTATGTAAAGGGCTTGGGCAAAGGGGTGTAGTGGGAGAGAATGCAGGATCCCAGGGGTCCTGGCTATGCCACACATGTATGGCATAGCCTTCAATTATTTCTCTCTCGTCGAGCCTTGATTTCTTTCTTTGAAAACAGAAGAAGTTGAATCACAAAATGTTACATGTAATAAGGACAGAGGGATTTGACTAATGGCCTAATATGTAAAGTACAATGCTTCTGGCTGCAAGTGACAGAGGACCTAACTAGAAATAGCTTAAACAACAAAGATGTATTACACCAAGTAGCAAAGAGTTCAAATGTTGGATGGTTCTAGGGTTGGTGAATTTCAGCAGCTCTGTGATTACACTTGGGACAGGGACGCAAGTTCTTTCCATCTTTCCATTCTGCCATCCCCAGGTGCTAGCAGCTTTGCTCATGGATGGCTGAAACAGCTCCAGGTATTGCTTTCTCACCCAGTCATTCCAGAGGCAGAAAATGGTTAGGTATCTTTCTCGAGTCTCTTTTTTAGAAGGAAGGAGACTTTCTCAGAAGCCCCTCTCCACACCATCCTCCAAGACCACCCCATACATCTCATTGGCCATGGTTGCGTCACATGCCCGTGACTAACCAATCTCTCACATGTGGAAAGGAGTGACCACAGTTGGTTGAAACCAATCAACCTTGACCCTTTGTGCATGGGAAGGGTCTATACAGGACAGGAAGAAAAGTGGGAAGTAGGTGAGGGGGGAATAGATGTTGGTTGGACAGAAAACGAACTGTGTCTTTTACGGCTCAGCTCCTCCCCTCACAGATGGGGACCTGAGCTTGAGCGAGATTTCCTCAAGTCAAGTGCCACAGGACTTGGTGGCAGTCGGGGGTAAATTTGGTTCTCACCTTTTGCTTATGGCCTAGAGCAACTCGAGCATGGAACTAAGAATCTGATTCTCTGTGAAAACTTTCCCTTCTAAAATCATCTTAAGGGTCGGGCACAATGGCTCACATCTATAATCCCAACACTTTGGGAGGCAGAGGCAGGAGGATTGCTTGAACCCAGGAGTTTTAGACCAGCCTGAGCAACATGGTGAGACCTCATATCTACAAAAAAAAACAAAAACAAAAAACAAAACAAAACAAAAAAATATAAAATCACCTTAAGTCCATGGCCAGTCTGAGATGTAATTTTCAGAGCTGACTCAAGCCTTTGACGTCTGTTATGCCTCCAGCCCCAGTGGAATGCCAATGAGAAGTTCAAGGGCACAGTGGGCAAGTGCTCTCCTGGCCGGCTGCAGGTTCAAATGCCATCACTGCCTTATCTGCTGTTTGTTGATCTCAGCGAACTATTCTGGCAGCAGCTGGCAGTGATACCATCTGCAAATGACAGTAGCAACCCCTATCAGGCATCCCTGTCAATGAGACTGTATCAGTCAGTGGCCAGCCAGGAAAATGGAAACCACAGAGATATTTCAAGTTTTAATGAAGAGGATTGGTTACAAAGCTGTTGAAAGGGCTAGAGAACAAAAATATGATAAGGGGTGCCATAGTCTGAATGTTTGTCCCCCTCAAACCTCATGTCAAAATTTGATCCCCAGTGTTGGAGGTGGGACTGAAAAGGAGGTGTTTTAGTCACAGGGAAAGATCCCTCATGAATGTGTTGGTGCCATCCTCATCCTCAATGAGCGAGCTCTTGCTTTATTAGAGTGTTCTCACAAGAGCTGGTTAAAAAGAGCCTGGTCCATCCCCATCTCTTTTACTCCCTCTCTCACCATGTGATCTGCACACACCGGTTCTCCTTCCCCTTCCACCATGAGAGGAAGCAGCCTGTGGCCCTCACCAGAACCAGATGCTGGTGCCATGCTTCTTGTACAGCCTGCAGAATGTACACCAAATATACCCCACCCCTCCCCTCCCCTCCCTTGTTCTTCTCTTTTCTTTTTGACAGGGTGTCACTCTGTCACCCAGGCTGGAGTACACTGGCACGATCTCAGCTCACTGCAACCTCCACCTCCCAGGCTCAAGCGATCCTCCCACTTCAGCCCCTCAAGTAGCTGGGACGCCAGGCACGTGCCTCCATACCCGGCTAATTTTTGTATTTTTATAGAGACGGGGTTTCATCATGTTGCCCAGGCTGGTGTCGAACTTCTGGGCTCAAAATCATCCCGCCTCAGCTTCCCAAAGTGCTGGGATTACAGGCATGAGCCACCACACCCAGCCCTCTTTTCTTTATAAATTAGCCAGCTTCAGGTATTCTTTTACAGCAATACAAATGGACTAAGACATGGATGTTTCCCAGGGATTAGGAAGCTGCTTTATTCCAGGCACCCATACATGTCATTGCTGAGCTGCTAGAGGGGCTGCCCCCACCCTACACAATAATCCAGCCCCTAATCCAGCCAGAACCACTGGCACTGCCAGAGCCAGAATGGCTTTTCCCTTCCTCCAGCCTTCTCATCTCTTCAGTACTTCCACTGGCCAGACCCAATTAAAAACCAATTGGTTGGAGGAAAGGGATGGAAAGAAATGGATTGAGGCCCCAACAGATCATATGTGGAACAGAAACATGTGAGATGATGATCAATAGCATAGATTTCAGACTCAGAGAGGCCTGGGTTTGGGTCTTCACCCTGTGACCATGGGCAAGTCACCTCCCTGGTGTAAGACCTAGTTTACTCATCTATAAAATAGGAATGATGATATACCCATTTCAGAGTATTGTTGTAAAGGCTCAAGAAGAAAATTATTATAAAGGACTTTAGCAGTGTCCAGCATCTTAGAAGGGGCTAAACAAATGTCAGCTGCAATTGTGTTCATTACCATCTTCATCATTATCATCATCACCTTCACAATAATCTCAATACTTCTAGCCACAGCCTTTGCAACAAGCTCCTAGGCCCCCTTGCATCAGGGTCCCACTGTACCCTTCTAGGGGTAGCCAGGGCTTTCAAAGAACTTTTACTAAGACTCCTTTGGACTTTCAAGACATTCTCCAATTTCCACGGAGCTACATTGGTAGCTATGCTTCTATTCTCCCAACTGAGAAAATGTGAAATAACAAATGCCCCCATGAATTCAATAACACCTTTGAATGACCACGTAATTTACCAAACACAAAGGTGTATACACACATTTGAAAAATAGATCTCTCTTTTTCTGTGGGAGGGGTTATTTTTCTTGTCAGCCAATGATGAGGATGAATGGACTCCTCCCAGGAGCCTCCTCTCTGACCTGGGGCTACCTCCTTCACACTTAGAGCCTGTCTGCTTGAGTGTGGACTCGTATTACTCCAAGGCTAAGGACCAAAGTCCTTGTCATGGCTGACAAGGCCCTGCATGGTCTGACTTTATGCCTTGTCCACCTCTTCCACCTCATTTTTCCACTTAGCCCCTTGTTTTCTGTTCTTAGCTATCCTGGCCCTCTTTCAGTCCCTGAATATGCCCTGCTCCTTCCTCCCATTTCAAGGCCTTTGTACTTTCTTTTACCTCTGCCTGGAATGTTCTTTCCCCTATTTTTTAATCTCATTACTTCAGACTTATCCCCCTAGTCCAGGCGGGATATTTTTGGTTGCAAGAGACTAAAAACCAGACCCAAAGTGACTTAAGCAAAAGCAGAAATTAAAAGTCCAAGCATAGTTAGTTCTGACTTCAGGTATGTCTCTATCCGGGGCTCAACCATTGACATCAACACCCATTAACTCTAGATTGGCTCATGTGTCCATCTCCAAGCCAATTGCCATGGCCAGGGAAGCGGCACATGCTAAATATCCCACTCATGAGTTGAAGAAAAATCAGATACAGTTCTAAGAAGGATGAGTGGGTGCTGGGCATGCAGACAGTGATCCACTCATGTCTTACTCAGTTCAGGGAAGTGCTCTTGGTGCCCACCCTCCACCCTCCAAGATTAAGTCAGTCCCTACTGCGATACACACTCAGAGCTTCCTGTACATCACAGCACTCATCATCTTGTAATTATACGCTCGCGTAGTTGCATGATGTCTGCTTCCTGCACCAGATTATGAGCTCCGTGAAGTCAGGGGCTGTTTTGTCATCACTGTATTCTCAGTGATGAAAAAGGCATTCAATAAAGAGTACGCATTTTAAGAGATTCATCTGCGACCCTGGGTGTGTCTAGGCCCAGCCTACTGCCTTGACTTTTCCAGCCGCACCACCATTAAGGTCAGAATCTTCCCCTCCACAGTCTTCTCTTCAAGCAGGCTTGGGGACGCTCACACAGGACACATCTCCCCTGACAAGAGAATGACAATTTTCCCATGGGACCTGGCAGGCCTGTGTCCTAGAACTTGGAGTGAATGATTCAGGCCAGCAGAGGGGACTTGAATCAGGAGGGGAGCCAGGGAGAAAAGGAGGGTCACTTTGGATTAAGAACTTTAAAAAGAGTGATTCACGATCGTTGCGGCTGACATTTAAAAAGCCTCACATACTTTTGGTAACCAGTGTGCTGCTTTGCATTTTGCCTCACATTTACCCTGGGAATGAAGCAGCCCTCAGTTGCTCTGAGGTAGATCGTATTTCGTTTTCTGCTTCTCAAGTATCGGTGATGTTTGGCTCCTCAGTTTCCCATATTTAACTTATTGCCAAAGCTTATTTTCATGGGAGCTCTTGCACAGTGGAGACATTCTGGGCTTTGGTGTCAGGCAGGCCACGGTTGGCAACCCAACTTTGCCATCTGCTGCATGACCAAGGACAAATTACTTAACCTCTCTGTCTCCATTTCCTCTCCAATCAAGTAACGATGCTAATGCCAACCTGGCAGGGGTTTGGGGAGGTGTAGATGGGGATGATTCTGTGCAACCTCCAGCTTTAGCCAAAGCTATGGTGGGATTGTGGAAGGCAGGGGGAGAAGCATGTCTTGTGTGAGGGAGGAGAATGGGGATGCCAGCAGGGCTCAGGTTTTGCTCTGTCCTACCCTGGTGCAAGTGTTAGTCTGAGTCCTCAAGAGAAAGTCTTGGGCTCCTTGTCCAGATATGGATTCCATAAGACACAGGGCACAAATGGTGTAGCTTTAGGATGCAGGAGACAGTGTGGAATGCTCGGTGTGTTGGGGAGTCGGGGATTGTGAGGGAGGTCTTGGAAAAACCAAGACTCGGTTCCCTGGACGTGTGCTATTTCCCCACTGAGGCCTGAAACCCAGAGGAACTTCTGGGGCCTCAGCATTTCCCATACCAGGAGTCAGTGCCTGGGGCTCAGCCATTAACATGGTACAGGGCATCAGGGTAGGGATAGTGATGGGGTGATCTCACTACCTCCCCTTAGACACCCCCAGATATAACAGGGTGAAACCTTGTTGGAGGCTGGAGGCCTGTGTTAAGTAGATAGAGGAAGAACCAGAAAAATATGGGTTCTGACTACTCCAGTAATCCCAGGTGAGGCCTGGGTGACTTAGGTTCCATATGAGGGCCAACATAGTACTCAGCACTTACTGTGATTTTTGTTATTTTATTTCCCAATTGAGTATTTCTAGAATACAGTAGCAGTGACACATACTTTTTTACTTCAAATCTGGCCACTTTAAAGAACTGTTTCGTCTTAATGACTTTTGAGTTGATTCCCAGGCATCTTTGACATAAAGTCATGTCACCTGCAACTAATGATGTTATCTCCAGCCCCAACATCTGCGTTCCAGTTTCTAACTCATGTCTTATTGCACTTCTCAGAACATCTCGACAACATTAGATAATAGCAGCGATGGTTGTTGCCCCTCATTTTATTTCTAGTTCCATTAGTTATGTTCCAGTAACGTGTTTCTTGCTCTTAGGATATTCAAAAGTACACCTGCCGAGTCCCAGCCCTGAGGAGTGTTTTCGTGCTTCATTGTTAAGTATCTTGGAGGCTCTCAGCTGGAAATAAATGCTCTTCATTTATTAAAGAAGCATCCTTATATTTTTAAGAGTCTTTGAAAAGAATGAGTTTTGTGTTTTATTAAGGACATCAGCTCTGGTTCTAAAACAAAACAAAACAAACCAACCTGTGTCTTTATCTGTAAAATGAGCTAAGAGGTATGGAGGAGCAGCAAAGGTAATAGTAACCACAGACATGTTGAGGGTTAAATGAGCTAACACGTGCCAAGTGCCTGGCAGGGAGTCCAGTAGCATCAGGCTGGCAGGTGTCATCGCTGTCACAGGTCCCATCCGGGGCTGTCCTGACACACTGCTCCCCTCCTCCAGGCCAGGAGGCCCCAGGCTTCTCCCTTGCTCCTCCCCTAAAATGACATGGCCAGCAGGGATCCCAGGGGCCATTAGCCAAGTGCTCTTTTGGAATTTGGCTGAAAGCCACAGGCTGGGCAGTTGGGAGGCTGGATAGACTGGGATGAAGACCCCCAGGGAAAGGCCAAAAGCTGGAGGACCTTGGGTGTCCTGGCTGTGCCCATCCAGCTGTGGGACCTCAGCATGTCCCTGGGCCCCTGGGCAGCCTGTTTCCTGAGGAGATAGTCTCTGAGGCCTGGCCTACCCGCTGGGACCCGCTGAGTGAGACGCAGGGCTGAGCTGGCCCAGAGCACAGTGGGGAGAGGACTCTTGTTATATAATAGATAACGACATGGCTTGCTTGAGCAGATCCTGTGAATTTCTCCAGAGCCACCATATTACTCCAACACACTCCCACACTGCTTCTTTCCTCTACATGCACCTAAATGGTGTGCTTTTTAGGGGGACAGGGATGGGCAGGACTAGCTGAATAACGTGTGGGACCCATTGCAAAATGAAGTGTGTGGGGGCCCTTTGTTCACCAATGATTAATAATTTCAGGCAGGGCGCCATGGCTCACGCCTATAATCCCTGCACTTTGGGAGGCTGAGGTGGGAGGATTGCTTGAGGCCAGGAGTTTGAGACCAGCCTGGACAACATAGTGAGACCTCATGTCTATTTTTTAAAAAATTTGGCTGGGCACGGTGGCTCACGCCTGTAATCCTAGCACTCTGGGAGGCCGAGGCGGGTGGATCACCTGAGGTCAGGAGTTCAAGACCAGCCTGACCAGTATGGTGATACCCCGTCTCTACTAAAAATACAAAAATTAGCTGGGCGTGATGGCACACATGCCTGTTATCCCAGCTACTCAGGAGGCTGAGGCAGGAGAATCGCTTGACATGGGAGGCACAGGTTACAGAGAGCTGAGATCACACCACTGCACTCCAGCATGGGTCACAGAGCGCGACCTCTGTCTTAAGAAAAAAAAATCAAAATGGTGGCCTCAGAGCATTAAACCAAGAGTGAGACCCTTGTAGACACAGGCCCTGTGACTGCAGAGGTTTCACACTCACGAAGCCAGCCCTTAGGGTACGAACAGACACCCCCCAGAACACTACCTATTAAGAACTTCGGACAAGAAACTTCCTTGCTGTCGTAGAAACCAACAGTGCAGTCATGCGGCTGTGAAGGTGGAAGGTGGGGAATCCCAAAGGCCTTGGTTTCATCATCACAGAAAACCTCATCAGGAAGGTCAAGTTGTCGGGACTGTGAGAGTGCTAGTGGCATCTGGGTCCATGTTGCTGAGTTCATCTTGACCTTCCTGTATTTTGGGTAGGTGAACCCCTAAGCCCCTAAGTACCTACCTTTGCTAAGCTCAGTGAAATTGGATTTCTGACATTTAAAAATATAGCAGTGTTGAGAATCCTGGACTTTATCCAGTAATTGGGAGAGGATTTGACTCCCTTGCCTGGTGGGAAGCAGGGTGGAGTCAAGAGGAGAGGGCATGCGGGGTGAGTATTGGGGACAGAGCCATTTGTTGGAAGATAAGTCTGAGACTGTGGCAGTTAATAAGGTCATTTTGAGAAAGGGAGTCCATACTGAGGTGTTAATCCAGGGCTCCAGCTGAACTACAAAAACCAAGGTCTGGAGGGAGATGGATACAGGTGCACACCTGAACTCTGGAGGTAGAACGAGGGTCCTCCCGGGGTTTTACTCCTTTACTATTCTGGCCCCAGAGGTGCTGCTCCCTCTAAACTTACAGTTTTCCCTTAAGGGTGGTCACTTGGTCCCCCCCTTATCTAAAAAAGGCTGGAACATTCAAGAACACTTTACTAAAGGCTTGGAAGTACCAAGAGAAATAAAGATAAGGGTGCCCATGAATCTGGAGATGACCGAGAGGCCTTTATCTGGAGATGGCTGGACCCCCCTTTTCTAGGAGCAGAGAGGGGATCCAGGGAGTTCTCCGTTTTAGTCTCTCAGCTTCTGGTGGCCTCTCTCTCTTTCATTTCCCCTCATCCATTCTGGAGCTGAGGGGGTGAAGGGGATAAAATACCTTTAGATCAAGCAATTCCACTTTTAGTTCATCCTACAGAAAAAGTTACATTCAAGGATGTTCACTGTAGCTGTAATATTGTAATAGCTGTGCGTGTGCAAGTGTGTGTGTGTGTGTGTGTGTGTGTGTAATATATTTTATGTAGAAACAGGTCTGGAAGCATACAGTCCAAACTGTTAACAATAGTTACCTCTACGGAAGGAAGGGAGTGGGGAAGGAAGAGAGACTTTCCTTTGCCTCTGTACACTTTATATACTTCTGCTTACTTCGGATTTTTTTTTTTTTTTTTTACCATTTTTCCATTATGTATTCATGTGTATAATTATAAAATGTGTAATTTAAAAATAATGAAACTTAAAAATCATATTATACAAAATTTTGAAAGTTCGAGGAAAGAACATGAAGTCAGATACCATAGATTTGTAGGGCTGTTAATCCCCATGGTAATTTCATTTTTTCCACCAGTTTTCAGCAGTCTGGGGGCAGGACTGGAGGAAGGTGATGTTAAATGGACCCGGGAGAAGGCAGCTAAGGCACAGGGGCCTAGTTGTTGTTCTAGGCATTTGACATCAGTGAGCCCATTTACTCTCTGAGGTAGATAGTAGTCCTAGATTTACAGTGGAGGACAGTGGCTGGGAGAGATGAAGTCAGGAGCTCAAGGTCTAATAGATGGCAGAGCTGGGATTCAGACCTCAGGGTGTGGAGCTCTCTCACTTGTGGCTGCCTCCAGCATGGTTCAATGGGGGAAGGCAAGGAAAGGAAGACAAAGAACTGGGTGCAGGTGGCACAGTCTTTGAATGGCTGACCCCTGGGTGGAGACGGAGATCAAGCCAGGAGGGAGAACTGGCTGTACAGAGGCTCAGGTTTAGTAGAAGAGGTGTGGAAGCAGAATAGGTTTGGATTTTAGACAGGCAAAGCTGTGAGGGACCCGGCATCTGCATGCCTTTAATGAACAGGTGAGGGGGGCCATGAGGGCTAAGGAGTCTCCTGGGAATGGACTGACCTATAACCCACAAATCTGTGCCAGTCACAGGGGTAGGAGGGAGGCTGGGCCTAGGTCCTTTGGTTTATCTCCTTTCCCAGCCCCATTGACCTCATGCTCAAGTCCTGGAGTAAGAATTGAAGCAGACATTCAGCTACAAGTCTGAGTCTTGTGGAAGTCAAGCAGTTCGGGCTGGGGGTCCCTATACCCGGGCAAAATGGATTGGGGCAGCTGGTGAAGCGTGTTCCACTTTGTGCCACGGAATAGTGAGGCTGAACATGGCTGGTGTGGTGGAGGCAGCCTACCTTCCAGCAGTACTGGGATTGTTCATGAGCCCTCTAGACACCTGGTAGGGATAGGATTCTTTGCAGGGGCCTGGGAGTCTTGGGTGACTTTGTGGGTGGCACACGCCAGTGAGGTTTGGGTTACTTCTGTCAGTGTGACCCATTTTCAGTCCACTGTCACAGGGTACAGAAGTGTTCAGGGACCTCAAGGTGCAGGTTAGAGCCAGGGGAGGAGGGGTGGGGTGGAATTGATGTTAGGTGGTTGGAGCTGAGAGGAAGCCTGTGACTTCCTGGAGTGTCCCAGGCTGAGGTTCTGTGTATGGGAAAAAGTGGGCTGAGACTCCAGAAGCAGGCAGATGACTCCTATTTTTCCTATCTGCTTCTGCATCATTCATAGCCCCAGGTCTCTAAGTCTAGGGTCCCAAAATTGCAGAACTGGAAATTAGTTACAGCTTTCCGGGAACAGAGAGGGTAAGTGACCAGCTCAGGACAGCACAAGGCAGTCCGGGCAGTCAGCAAGGTGTGGGGCGGTGCACACGGGGCTTTTCAGGCCAGCTGATCCCCCAGCCCTAGTCCCCAACTCCTTCATTTAGTGCATGGCCCAAGGACCAACAAGGGAGGCGGGACGCCGAGGTCCTGCCTAGGAGGGGAGGGCCGAGAGGACTAGAGCTGCTTGGAGCCCCAGAAGCGGCAAGGTCAGCGCCGGGAGTCGTCAAGGCCGTACTTCTCTGCAGGGCGGGGAGGAGAGGTCGCGCTTTAAACTTCCATGAACTCTGTTGGTTCCAAGCATTTTCTCCATGAAGTATCCTTTATTTACAAGAGCTCCAGATTCTACCTGGAAAAAAGACCTCTTAAAATTGCAGAGCAAAGGCAGAAAAAAATTATACGATTTAGGCGGAATAAAGAGTGATGTTTAAAAATCTTTTCCTTTGTTTTTTAAGACATCTTCACCAAGCCAGTAGTACTTTTATAAGGCAGAGAAGCATAAATATTAATATTGCTTAATGGGCTTAAACTTGGTAATAGAGCCACGTGCCAGTGGTTCGGGGCAGTTTCGCCAGTAACGTGCTCTCGGGTTACCCTGCTCGGGCCAGAGATCGAGGCTCCGGGGACCCGGCACCTGAACCTGTGCTGCAGTCCCAGCGCGACAGCAGGGAATCCAGCCCGCAGCACGCCTCCGGGTCTTTGCAGTAGCCGGGCCAAGGCGGGAGCGGCTGCCTCTCAGGGTCGCTCCAGGGCCGCGCTAGGAAAGGTGTGGACGGTCGGAGAGGACAGGAAGGAGCCGGCTGCACCGCGCCAGGGTCTCCGCAAACCGGGAGCCCAGGGAGGGCGGGAAGACTGGCGGGGGTCCGAGGCAGCCCGCTACAGGATACGTGATGGACGCCCAGAGACACCGCCCTCCAGCTGGTGGGGGAGGAGCCCCAGCCACCAAGAAGTTAAGTGACTGGCCCAGTTCACACAGCAAGCTAGTGGCTGTGTGCGTGTCCGGGGTCCTCATGGGCCCCAGGCCTGCAATGCGTACGCCCCTTCCCCTGGCTCTGCCTTTGGGGTCTCGGACGCCCGACTAGCACTTTGGTTAAAATGAGAGGAGGACGGGCGCCTGCAGCCTGCCCGGTGCTGTAGCTTTGCGGCCGCCCCGGCGCCTGTGTAATCCGAGGCGTGGCGCGCCAGGTTTTGGCCTGCGAGGGAGCGCACGTGGGCTGCGGCTTCTCGCGGACGCCCAGGCCCCACCCACCCGGGACCCGGCGCGCGGCGCCCCAGTTTGACTTTCACTACCCCCAAAGGAGGTCTTTCCACCGGCCTCTTTTCTGGGTAACAGCTCCAGGGCTCACACTTGGTGACCCCACCGAGGTCAAGTAGCCGCTAAGTTACGGAGCCGGAATTCGAATTTGGCGGTCGGGCTTCTGGTGGCCTCGGGACGGAGGTGGCTGTGTGTCCCTGGGCAAGTCTCTTTCCTTCTCTGGGTAGCCCAGTCGGGCGCCCCGCCTGTCGTCGCCGCGCATGCTCAGTTGCGGGCGGCGTCCGGAGGAGGTGGCGGGCGCCCCAGCTGCTTTGCATTGACGCCAGCACCCGCTGGAGGTCACCGCTGGGGGCTCGGCGCGGCACGCTGCCGGCAAAACCCGGCCCGGATCACGGAGCCGGAGCCGGAGCCGTACCGCCAGCAACTCCTGGGTGCGCGCAGCCGTTTCTGCGCTTCTCGACGGTGCGGCCCCAGGCCCCGCTGGAGCCGAGCTGCTCCCCTCCCTACCCTGGCGGACGTGGCCCGGCCGCTCCGAGGGGTTTCCCTCGGACCCCGCGCCTAAACCCCGGCCAGCGGGAGCGTCTAAGGCTAGCCTTGTACCCCACCGGCACTCGGCCTGGGGGGGCTTTTCCGCGAGGCGGCGGCCCAGCGGGCGGAGCGGCGTGGGTGTCCACATCTAGGCGGAGTCTGGAGCCGGGGAGGCGGCGGCGGCGGCGGCGGGAGCGGGGCCGGGCGCGGCCGGGAGCTCGCCTCCCCCGGGGGTCGTGCCGCAGCTCGGCGAGGGCAGCGTGGCTCGCGCGGCGTGGACTCAGCCGCTCCTGGGTAAGGAGAGCGCAAATCTCCTCCCCCTATTTCCCCGGAAGCGCGGCCGAGGCGAGCCCGGCGATGTGAGAGGCGGCCGTCGGCTCCTGCCTCAGGAAGGGCATGTTCGGAGGGGCGGCCTCGGCACGCCACCCGCCTAAGCGCCCCCTTCCCACCGCAGCCGCCGCCGCCGCAGCGCCCGCACCGCGATAAAAGGGGCGGCCGCGTTTCCTGACGCGAGATCCGCGCTCGCCGCCGCCCGCCCAGGCGGCGATGACACGGCGCCCGCGGCGGCCCGGAGGCGCCGGGTGGGCCGTTTGCTGACCGGATCGCGGCTACCCGCCAGCGTGTCCGCGGCGCCGCCGCCAGCATGGGCTGTGCCCCGAGCATCCACATTTCCGAGCGCCTGGTGGCCGAGGACGCGCCTAGCCCCGCGGCACCGCCGCTGTCGTCCGGCGGGCCGCGCCTCCCGCAGGGCCAGAAGACGGCCGCCTTGCCCCGGACCCGCGGCGCCGGCCTCTTGGAGTCGGAGCTTCGCGACGGCAGCGGCAAGAAGGTAAGGGGCGCCGGGCACTCTGGGGCCGCCGCGAAACTCGGGCCCGGCCAGTAAGCAACTTTCCCGCAGGGGCCGGGCGGGGTCCCCCCCACCCGGCCTCGGTGCCCTCTTGTCCCGCTTTGGATGGTTCTGATTGACGCCAGTCTCCCGCCTTGCCGGGGCAGCGTTCAGAGAAGGACCGACCCAGGTCCCGCGACCCTGATTTCCTAGGGTTGCGATTAGGACGCCGCCTGTGTCGCGGCGTCGGTTTTTTGGACACATCCGACTCCCGGAGCGGCGGGGCCCGATGTGAAGTTGACTGAGGCGCTTGCATCAATTTCCTCTCCAAGAGCGGGTGTTTGAGGGAAACCCCCAGGATATTCTGGCGCGCCCCTGCAATGTTAAATCAGTGTGAACTTTGTTCTTTTCCTGTGGTAGAAAGGGAAGGGCGACTGGCCTCACCACTCTTTTCCCTCTGTCAGCTTTGCACATGCAGTTGCAGGTTACCATTTTCTTCGGGACTGCTAGAATGTAATCTGGAACATCAGCTTTGCTTCATTGCACATGTATTTGAGGTCCACGTTTATTAGCATACATACTGTATTTAAAGCATATGTAATTAGAAAATACTGTGAAACGCGATTTTTGAAGCATTCAGCAGAACAAAGTTAATCTTTTATTAAGCCGACTTACTGGGACATTTTGTGACTGGGGTTTTTTGTTTTTTTACATTGCGTGTCTTCTCCAGCGCATGTTGCCTTGGCTTATGTTTTGTCAAAGTTTCTGGGCTTAGTCTTTGTTGAGGTTTTCTAAAGGAAAGTTAAAAAGGAAAAAGAAAAACGTGATCATTAAGGCACACAGCAGCAGCTTTCCAGTTCTCTCATTTCAGAATTTAAAGCTGGAACTCATGCGTTGGTTTATGTTTTGTTAAACCAGTAAAAGACAACAACAACAAAATTCGTGCATGGCTGCAGATTGTTGGCTGTCATCCCTCTCATCACGACCAGTTTTTGAAAGAGTAATTTGCAAAATTTGTTTGATTTTTCCTTGCTTGCTGAGAACTGCTGAACCTCCGAAGTTTGAGGGATATAGTTTGATGTACTTTCTGTCTTACATTTCTAGCAGTCGTCATGATACTTTTTCTGTACGAAAGGGGAAAGTCTTTTTCAGTGTTGCATAACAGTTGATTTCCCCACCATTCCCATACCCTAAGTGAAAATTCAACTTTGTTCTGATTATCAGAAATTGAATTCCTTCTCCTATAGATTCTTTAAAGAAACCTCTGATGGTTTAGGCTTACTAACTCAAGGTGCTCTTAATATCAGTGTTAAGCTGTGTGTTAAGCCTACTTGGCTTTAAAAAAGTGTTACACAGGTGCATATGGAAACTTTAACAGCTTTCAAGTTTTCAGTCCAAATCTAACATTTTGCAGACTAATGTGATAATTTCAGATTACCAAAGTAGCCCTTTTATAGTGAGGGGCCTTTGTGTCTTACAGGCTTTTTTTGTGGTGGATTGGGTGTCCTAAAATTCACCTAGGTGTCTTGTAAGCCTCCCCAGTGCAGCAGCAGCTTGCTCTTGTGCTATCGCAGTGCCGTTAGGTCCCTGAGTTTTTAAGTACTTACTTCAACCATTCTTCTGTATTGGCAGACCATTGTCTTGTGTTGGGGGCTCAGAAAATACTTTCATCCTTAAAGTGCCTAACCCAGTGGCATACACATAGTAGGTACTAAATAAATGTTTACTGATTTCTTAAAAAATTGTTAACTGATTGATGAAACTTTTTCAGTCATTGGAATTTGATTTCATAAAGCCTCCTATGTAGACTTCAAAATAATAGTATTTCCAGAGCAGGAGTCAAATTATAAATTATAACACCACAACCACAGAAATAATAGCCCCATACTTGTTATTCATGAACTGTACATGTTGATATCTCATTTACAGTTATTTGCATTTAGGCATGTCAGATAGTAGAGCAGAGGTAAATGTCAGCATTTTTTCTAGTCTAATATTTTTTCTTTGAAAATGAATCTTTTTAAATTTTAAGATATTAACTATGCTCTGGAAATTCATGTTAGAGAAGGCAAACTGCTAGCAATTTAGCAAAATTAAATCATAAAATTAGTTTCTTTGTATTATCTCAAGATGCAATTTAATTCATTACAAAATTTCTTATTAAAACTGTAAGTCAGCATATCTTTAAGTGAATTTCAACAAGAAATTCATTGGGGGATGCTTTTATAGTCCTACAGCATTTAGTAAATACCAGTTTATCAGTGTGGGTGGGAGATTGATAACTAATTGCATTTTTAGGTTAAGCAGTATGTACTTTGCGTTAAAGTGTATCCTGCATGTGTTCTATGGAACAATATGTGGACTGTTAGTATTGTATGAGAAAAGAGTTCCGTGGTCTGGTAAGTTTTTGGGAAATACAGGTTGAATATCCCTAATCAGAAAATGAGAAATGTTCCAAAGTCTGTTTTGAGTGCTGACATGATGCTCAAAGGAAGTGCTCAATGGAGCATTTCAGAGTTTGGATTTTCAGATTAGGGATGCTGAACTGGTAAATATAATGCAGATATTCCAAAAGCCAAAAAAAAAAAATCCAAAACACTTCTGGTCTCAAGCATTTGGGATAAGAGATATGCGGCCTATACTGGCTCAGACTAAGTTCAACAGAGTTCTTTTATGTAGGGCTTGTCAGAGAACCTAATTTCTGAAAGTAATCTGTGAGTCTCCAAGTGGTTTTTAGAGTGTGCATCATTTCCTAAACTAGTTGATTGTGGAGCCCTTTTCTTGAGGTGTATGTCAGGCAGGCCACATGTTAAGACCTGATTCTTTATGTGAGATACCAATATTCAAAGTACAAGAAATATAATTAACAGTAAAACTCAACGAATGTAATTTGCTTCTTAATGATTCCAAAGGTACTTTAGATCTTGCAATATATTAGGCTGGGTTGTCTGTATGAACTTATTTAAGTATTACTAAAAATACCCTCTGTCTGTTTATTCCTTTCGGGAGTTTAAGTTTATGTGGTTACAGATAATGAATGCTGTGTTCAGTTTGAACACTTAGAGTTTTGTTTATTTTTAATCAGTGTGAGTGAGCCTTAACTGTAACATTTTAATATTTTCTTGCCAGTCTTTGGATTTACCCCATTTCCACTTTCCCTAGCCAGGACTTGAGTTGCCCTTGAAAGATTTGCATGTAGTGTTAGAGACCCTATGCTCACCCCCTATCTTCCTTTTTGCAAACACCCACTGCACTGCTAATGATTGATGCTCCCCACACCCCAACTAATCAACTCTGTGAGATGGCAGTCATGTTTGTTTTGTTCACTGCTGTATCCCCCAGGCCTGATGCACAGTAGGCCTTCCGTAAACGTATGTTGAATTAGAGAATTTTGTGAACCAGGCTGTCAAGTTGAAAATCCACCCAGGCCAGGTAAGTAGAAATAGAAGCCAGTTTTAACCAGAGTAGAGGCTGTAAAGTTTGGATTTGGTTTTGTGGAAATCTCTGGTTATTGCTCTTCAGAGCACTGTACCCAGGGAATAATATATTTCTACCCTGTTGAGCAGAGTAGATTTCCCTGTAAAGAAAGATTAAAGAGGCTGGGCGCGGTGGCTCATGTCTATAGTCCCAGCACTTTGGGAGGCCAAGGCAGAAGGATTGCTAGAGCCCAGGAGTTTGAGACCAGCCTGGACAACATCTCAAGACTCTGTCTCTACCAAAAAATAAAAAAAATTAGCTGGGCATGGCACCGCACACCTTTAGTCCCAGATACTTGGGAGGCTGAGGTGGGAGGATCACCTGAGGTAAGAAGTTCAAGGTTGCTGTGAGCCGAGAGTGCGTCCCTGCACTCCAGCCTGGGCAACAGACAGAAACCCTATCTCAAAAATAAATAATAAATAAAAGATGTAAGGATTAGTGCAGCTAAGGTGATAGATAATAGTACAGCTGCAAGCCAACCTCTAATCGAGTGTTACTGCTGTCAGCACTCACTTAAAATCTCAGACATTCTCTAGTTGGTCCATTTCTGTTTCCCTTTGCTTCTGTCATTCACTTCCTTCAACCTCTTTTCTCTTACTTTGCATCACCTCCCGTCCCACTTCCATCTTCCTCCTTGCTTTTTTCTGCTAGCCCACCTTCCTGCACAAAACTGGCCACTCTTGCCATCTTAGTCAACTAAAGTTTAGTGGTTTCCAAATGTTACTTAAGTAACATTTGGAATGGAATAAAATTTATTGCCTGCTCCTAGTTTACAAAGTGGATTAGTCAAAACTTTTTTTTTTTTTTTAAGACAGCGTCTTGCTTTGTTACCCAGGCTGGAGTGCAGTGGCACAACCATGGCTCACTCAGCCTTGACCTCCTGGGCTCAAGTGATCCCCCCACCTCAGCCTCCCAAGTAACTGGGACTACAGGTGCGCACCATGCATGGCCAGTTTTTTAAACTTTTTTTTTGTCGAGACGAGATCTTGCTGTGCTGCCCAGGCTAGGCTCAAACTCCTGGGCTCCTGTGATTCCCCCAGCCTCAGCCTACCAAAGTGCTGGGATTACAGGTGTGGGTTACTGTGCCCAACTGATTACTCAAAATTTTACATTTGGCTAAACTAAAGCAATTTTCTCTTTGTGTGTGACCTGACTGATTTTTTTCCTCCAGTAGGGGTCTTTGACCCTTGCTAGATTATATGGAATTACTGAAAGTTTCCTTTGAAAGTGTAGTTGAGAAAAATGAGACCAAACTTTCTGCTGCCATAGTAAGTGACTACAGTTTATCTCTAGAGCTCAGGGGTTGTGAGTTCCCTCATTGTGTTCTTGTGCTTTTCAGTATATAGAAAGATATTTCTTTATTCATTTTCTTGAATTCCTTTTACATACATAAAATACTTTGCATTTATAGCATATGTTTTTTAGTACTTACTGTCATTGCCACCATAACTTTAAGTGTGATTCTTAAGATAGACATTGTCACAATTCTGTTACCTGAAACCTGTCCCTGACCAGCTTTGACCCTCGCCTTGCTGAGGTAAGGTTTATGATAGGGCCTGTGGTCCCTTCTGGCGCAAATGTTTCCTGTGAAGTGGCTTATGACTGGTTTTCCCTTGGATAGCTTACCCATTTGGATTGGTTCCTTTTTTTTTTTTTTTTTTTTTTAAAGACAGTTTTTTGCTCTTGTTGCCCAGGCTGGAGTGTAATGGTGCGATCTCAGCTTACCACAACCTCCGCCTCCCGGGTCGAAGCAATTCGCATGCCTTAGCCTCCCGAGTAGCTGGGATTACAGGCTTGCACCACCATGCCCGGCTAATTTTTTTTTTGTATATTTAGTAGAGATGGGGTTTCTCCATATTGGTCAGGCTGGTTTTGAACTCCTGATCTCAGGTGATCTGCCCACCTCGGCCTCCCAGAGTGCTGGGATTACAGGTGTGAGCCACCGCGCCCGGCCTTGGATTGGTTCTTAAATAGGAGAAGGTTCATGATGTGAGGACACAGGGTGAGGCAGACATCCCAGAGTAACCTTAAAGGACAGAATATTTTAAAAAATTTTAAAAAAAAGAACAGAGGGATAAGTACTTAGGACATGAGTAAGCCCTCAGTCTTACCCAAGCTTAGTGGCTTCATCCTGGTTTCTCAGTACACTGAGGCAGTAGGAGGTGATGGATTCTGCAGTTCTTAGAGTGCAAACTATTCATATTAATAATAGCCACCATTTCTTGGATGCCCTCTGTGTTGCAAGCACCATGTTAGATGCTTTAAAGATGTTATCTCATTTAATCCTTTCAACCCTGTGAGGTGGCAGGTATCATTTCCCTTTAGCAGATAAGACACCAGAGGTTAGAAACTTGTCCGAGGTCATACATTTAAGCTGAGATTCAAATCCACTGGTCCTGGCTCTCACCTGTTAGGTTGTTGCTCTCTGTTAACTAGCTATGTTCATTGCATTTCCCATTCTTTGGTCTTCTGCTAAGCTACAGATTTCACAGGACAACTGGGTTTTAAGCAGGCATCTTGAATCTGCATTATCAGGATTTTGTTAAGTTTCGACTTACTGTGGAAGTTGGTTACAGCTCTACCTTAGGTTCCTGTGTTTGAGGAAGTTGAAGTCATCTTCAGCCCTGTGCCAGTTAACTCCTGAAGCTAGATATTTTGTGACGCCCTCTGAATCTGCCCTCTTTGCTGTCTGAAATGAGTTGGGAGGGCATCCCTTGGGAGTTTTTTTCCTTTCCCCTTTCTCCTGCTCAGGTTTCAGGCAGCCTGCCCTACCAAGAGTTCCCCAGGAGCTGGTTCTTTCCATTGCCCTTTGCCTAGAGTGCTGTTCCCCCACCAGTGCTGCATGTACCTATCTTCTCAGGAGTTAGTCAAGGCCCAGCTGAAAGCTTCCTTGAGCCCTTGGCTGGCTTGCACTCTTTTCTCTGCTCTTGGGACCTGCTCCTGTATCCGTGTGAGCCTAGGATTTCTGTCTTCAGCCTTCTGCTGGATTATATGCTGCTTGAGGGCAAGCACTGTGTCCTAGTTTCCTTATAGTTCCCAAAGTGCTTGGCACACTTGGTAAATATTTGGATAAGTACACCAGTCTCTAAGGCTGAAAGGGCTTTTATTCATGTTCCACGAGTCTATCTCACCTTGTTTAGATTTAACAAAAGTTGTTGGGGTGTATTCTGTGTTTTAACAGAAAGCTAAAATACCCTTAAGCCAGTGATTAATCTGTGGGGTGATTAGTAAAGCTTTTGCCTCCAATTTTGTCTGAGTTAGGGTTAAGCAATGTTCCTGAGTCCCCTCCTTCTGTTCTACTTTTGTTCTGCTCTGTGTGGTAAAGAGTGGTAGAGTATCATGTCAGAGAGCTGTTTTGACAAGTTTATATTGCATGTCTTAGCTACAGGCACCATGTGTAGTTTGCCCATCCACACAGGAAGGATGTTGCAGATTTCCCAGAACTTTGAGGGTGACCTCCAATAATTTGGGATGGGGGGCTTTGCCAGTGCTTTTATTCTGTATTGGTTGGAAATAGACCTTTGCTGTTTTGAATTCATCCTCTTTCACTGCTTGCCTTCTCCCTTTCATGTCCTATTAGGGAGTACAGGAGCTGCTTCACTTCCTCTTACTCTGCTTATAGGATAACCCAAAGCGCTGGTGGCACATCAGCAGTTCCCAGGTTGTCTGCAAAGGTTTGGTGTTGATGGCAGCTCCCTAGTGAGGTGTTAAAAGACTATAGGAGGAGGAGCCAGAAGATGTGTGTTTTGGGTCCAGCTCCATCAGGCTTTGGCTATGTGATACTTGGCAACTCCTGATCCTGAGTTTTCTCAAGTACAGAGTGAAGCTAGAATACCTGGGTTCTGGTAAGGATAACTAAAAATAATCTGTGTGAAAGTGTTTTGTAAACTCCAAGACACTATCGCATGTAAGGATTGACCATTTTCTTATGAGAACCTTTCTCAAAGGCAAACTTGGTTCAAATATATCTATTTTTTAACGCAGATCTCATTTTTAATATAGTTTTTCTCCAATATTTTGTGAAAATTTTCATAGAGCAAAGTTGAGAGAATTATGCACTCATATGCCTGCCATCTGGATTCTGCAGTTAACAGTTTTCTATATTTGTCTTATATCTGTCCACTCCTTTATCCATCCATCAACCCATTTTATTTTTGGATTCATTTCAAAGTAAGTTCCACACATCAGTATACTCAACCCCTAAATATTGCAGTATGTATATCAAGTACTAGAGCGCAAAATTTGAACTTTGGGCATGGTAACACACACCTGTAGTCCCATCTACTCAGGAGCTGAGGCAGAAGGATTGCTCGAGCCCAGGTGTTCGAGACCAGCCTGGGCAATATAGCAAGACCTCATCTCAAAAAAAAATTAATTCAAAATTAAATAAATTCAAAGTTTACATTTTTAAATGTGAAATGCCATAAAGTAAAATGTGTAAATTTTATGTGTACCATTTGTGAGATATGACAAATGTATATGTCTATGTACTATGAATCTCTGTCAAGATACAGAATTACACAATATTATAATCACCCCCAAAAGTTCTATTGTGCTCCCTTTCCATTCTTACCCCCAGCCACCAGCAACCACTGTTCTGAATTTTTTCCATTATAAATTATTTTTGCCTATTCTAGATTTCATGTAAATAGAACCTTACAGTCTATTCTTTTTTTATAAGGCTTATTTCACTCAGCATAATGTTTTTGAGATTCTTCTATGCTGCACGAGTCAGTAGTTTGTTCTTTTTTCTAATTAAAGTAGTCTGTTACATGAAGAAACCACAGTTCACTTATCTATTCTTTTGTTATTGGATACTAGGGCTGTTTCTAATTTTTGGCTATTATGACTAAAGCTACTATGAATATTCTAGTACACATTATTTTGTGGACATGTGCTTTCATTCCCCTTGGTTAAATACCAAGAGGTGAAATTGCTGGGTCATAGGATAGGTATATGTGTAGCTTTTTAAGAAACTGCTTGACCTTTTCCCAAAATAGTTATCCAATATTACACTCATGCCAACAATGTATAATAAAAGTTCAGTTGCTCTACATCCTTCCCATCATTTGGTGTTAATCAGTATTTTAATTTTAGCCATTCTGGTGGGTGTGTAGTGGTATCTCATTGTGGTTTTGATTTGTATTTCCTTGATGGCTGATGATTTTGAGTACTTTTTCCGTGTGCTTGTTGTTCATTTACTGTATTGCTGTCTTTTTAAAGTTTTTATTTTAATACTTTTTTATTAAAAGGAAATATAAACATTATGACCTCTGGGTAGGGAAGGACTGATTAAGCAAGTTACACAAGGCATTTACATAAAGGAAATGGTTGATAAATTCAACTACGTTAAAATAAAGAACTTCTCATCAAAAGAGAGTGAAAAGGAAAGCGGCAGACTGGAAGAAGACATTTGCAATGCATAGTACCAATAAAGGATTAGTATTCAGAGAGGTCCTAAAAGTCAATAAGAAAACAACCGCCCAGTTGAAAAATTGGAAAAGGTTGGGACAGGCACAGCACTAAGAGGAAACCAAATAGCTAATAACTATATGAAAAGGTTTTCAACCTCATTGGGGAAATGCAAATTAAACCCACAATGAAATAACATTTTATACTCATCAAATTGGCAGACATTTAAAAGGTTGGCAGTATTTTGAGGAACTGCTCAACATTAAGTAGAGGTGTAAATTAGTTCAACTACTAGGGAAAAACCCATTGTCATTGCCAGGTAGAGTTGAATATGTGACCCTGTGACATAGCAGCTTCTCTTCTAGAAACTCTTATATATCTTTACTGGAAACATGTACGAGAATTTTCAGAGCAGCATTACTTTTAATTCCAAACTTTCCTGTAAAACCCAAATGTCCATTAACAACATAATGGATAAAAAAGTTATGATATGTTCAAAGAAAGGAATACTTCACAGCTGTGAAAAATGGATTATAGTTTTAGATATTAACTTTGATAAATCTCAGTGGAGAGAAAGAAGAAGCCATCAAAAAATCTGTAAGTTATGATTCTTTTTATTTAAAGATTGATAGGCTGGGAGTGGTGGCTCACACCTGTAATCCCAGCACTTTGGGAGGCCGAGGCAGGAGGATTACTTGAGGCCAGGAGTTTGAGATCAGCCTGGACAACATAGCAAGACCCCATCTCTAACAACAAAAAAAAGATTAATAGCTAAACAATATATAGTAATACACACATAGGTGTTAAAACTTACCATAAAATCAGTTCAGGCAAATAAAGTTTATTTTAAGGACTTAAATGTTTAGCATGTTAATTTGAGTGCCTAATATAGAGGCTGTAGGAGGATAACAGGCCCTGCTCTCAGGGAACAATTAGTCCTTTCTGGAAAGGTGGGGTAGGTCTCTGACCTGGAAGTGATGATGGCACCTTGGGGGATGGATTGTGGAGGCAAGAGCTTGGTCTGGATTGGTCATAAGGTATAGAAAGAGGAAAGGAGGGAGAGGTTTGACCTGGGCTTAAAAGACTGGGAGGATGTGGATAAGTGGAAAATATATCTCTGGATAAGGGGAAGGAAGGGTACGGGGGTTGGGTGCATGTTCCAATTATGAGGAGGCTGACCAGAGATAGGACGGGAGGTCTAAAAGCCAGGTTGAGGAGTTTGAAGTCCATCCTATAAACCTCAGAGAACTCCCAAAGGCATTTCATTTTCAGCGGGGTAGTCAAAGGATAAACATGTTTCATGAAGATTAGGTTTCAGGCAAAAATTGCAGTAGGTGGGGTGAGGGACAGCTAGAGGTGGGGCACTATGCAGGACCTATTGCAGTGGTTCAGGCACAAGGTATGACCAGGTATGACTAACTTAGTGCAGTAGTTTGGGAGAGGAGGGAATGAGAGAAGGAAAAACTGACTAGTGACAAATTGGACTTGGTGAGTGAAAGGGCGGAGAGTGGAGGGTGACTCAGAGGTTGGGGTTTACCAGCTTAGAAGGACTGTGATAACATGCCACAATTTGTACAGTGCTTTATGGTTTACCAAATGCTATTTTTGTACCTCATCTCATTTGATGTTCCCCAAACCATGGGGAGGTGGAAAGGAGGGATTTTATTTTCCCTGTTTAAGGCCTAAAGAAGCAGAAATTCAGAGATTGAATGACTTGTTCAAGTTTGTGGTGACCACTTACAGAAACAGGTTCACTGTAATAGCATAAGGGAGAAGTCACAGGAAAGCGAATTTAGGGAGTTTTTAAAAAACCTTTCTTGTCTTTTGGTTCTGAGTTCATCTTATAAAAATAAACTTTTACTTTTCCTGATTGTAAAAGTCATATTCATTGTAGAAAACTTGAAACATATAGAAAAGAACAAGGATCGGCTGGGCGTGGTGGCTCATGCCTGTAATCCCAGCACTTTGGGAGGCCAAGGCGGGCGGATCACAAGGTCAGGAGATCAAGACCATCCTGGCTAACACGGTGAAACCCCGTCTCTTCTAAAAATACAAAAAATTAGCCGGGTGTGGTGGCAGGTGCCTGTAGTCCCAGCTACTTGGGAGGCTGAGGCAGGAGAATGGCATGAACCCAGGAGGCAGAGTTTGTAGTGAGCCGAAATCGCGCCACTGCAGTCCAGCCTGGGCGACAGAGCGAGACTCCATCTCAAAAAAAAAAAAAAAAAAAAAAAGAACAAGGATCACTTAAATTGTACAATCACTTAAATTGCACAGTCAGGAGATAATGTCTCTTAAAATGGTGGTGTGTTTCCTTCCATCCATGTAGATTGCTTTAAATAACTATAATTAAAAACTTTTTTGGGCTGGGCGTAGTGGCTCATGCCTGTAAATCCCAGCACTTTTGGGAGGACAAGATGGGAGAATCACGTGAGGCCAGGAGTTTGAGAACAGCTTGGGAAACATAGTAAGACCCCCATTCTCTATAAAAAAAAATAATAATAAATAAATTAGCTGGGCATGGTGGTGCACACCTGTAATCCCAGCTACTTAGACTGAGGTGGGAGGATTGCTTGAGGCTGGGAGTTTGAGGTTGCAGTGAGCTATGATTGTGCCACTGCACTCCAACCTGGGTGACAGAGTGAGACCCTGTCTCTTAAAAAGCAAAAAACAAAAATATTTTTTAAGCAGTTTTGTTTTTTAGTTCTAGGAAACATTTAACTATTATTTATTTAAATGTTGTCCCCTTAAGTTTTCTCATTTTCTCTTCTGCAGCTCCCTCCAAAAGATAGATTGAGACGCATCTTGATCTGTCCTCCGTGTCTCTTCACTTTTCTTTTACTTCCCCTCTCTGTGCTATCTTCTGGGAGGATTTTTTAGCTCAATATTTTAAGTCACGAATTCATTCCTCAAGGTCTACTCAGCTCTTTAGCCCACTGAGTTTTTAAATTTGAGTTTTTGTCTTCAGTCTATGGTTTGCTCTTTTTTCTTAATTGCTTATTCATGTTTTATGGTTGCAGCATACTTCCTTATCTCTTTGAGGATATTAATTACACTCACTTTAAAGTCCTATTCTGATTGCTGTATTAAAAACACTTTTTATTGAGTTATAAATGTAATCAGCCAAGGTGTACAAAATCCCTAAGTGTACAGCTTGATGAATTTTCCTCATGCTCCCATGTAATCACCAGCCAAATCAAGACAGAACATTTCCAGCATTCCAGAAGGCTGCCTTGTGGCTGTTTACTGTTTTTTAGTATTTTTAACATTTTATGAAAAATCTCAAAATACAGCAATCTTGAAGGATTTTTCACAGGGTACCCCTGTGTACCCAATGCCTGTATTTTACATTAGCATTTTACTGTACTTGCTTTATCACATATATCCATGTATCCATTCTTCTACCTATCATACTCCTTTTTCTTTGATATATTTTAAAGTAATTGCAAGTGAGGACGGGAGCGGTGGCTCACGCCTGTAATCCCAGCACTTTGGGAGGCTGAGGCAGGTGGATCACCTGAGGTCAGGAGTTCAAGACCTGACCAACATGGTGAAACCCTGTCTCTACTAAAAATACAAAAAATTAGCTGGGCATGGTGGCAGGTGCCTATAATCCTAGCTACTAGAGGCTGAGGCAGGAGAATCGCTTGAACCCAGGAGGCAGAGGCTGCAGTGAGCTGAGATCACACCATTGCACTCCAGCCTGGGCAACAAGGGCGAAACTCTGTCTCAAAAAAAAAAAAGAGAGAAAAAGCAATTGTAAATGTTAGTATACTATACTTCCCCTTAAATATTTCAGCATGAATTTGATATTTGCTTAGGTTTTTTCCTTTTGAAGCAACATTTACACACAGTGAAATGCACAAATATTTAGTGTATATTTGCTGAGTTTTGACAAACGCATACATATATCTGCGTAATCCAAACCTCTATGAAGTTATAGAACATTATTTTCATTCCAGAAAGTTTCATTATGCTCCTTATTGGACAATCTCTTCTTGCAACCACCCTTCTGATTTTTTTCTTACCACAGATTAGTTTTGCCTGTTCTAATTTTAATATAAGTGGAGTTACACAGTATGTACCTTTTTTTTTTTTTCTGAGGCAGGGTCTCCCTCTGTTGCCTAGACTGGAGTGCAGTGCTGTGATCATAGTTAACTGCAGCCTTGACTTCCCTGGCTCAACTGATCCTCCTCCCACCTCAACCTCCTGGGTAGCTGGGACTACAGGTACGCACCACCACTCCTGGCTAATTAAAAAAATTTTTTTTGTAGAGACAGGGTCTCATTATATTGCTCAGGCTGGTCTCAAACTCCTGGGCTCAAGCAGTCCTCCTGCCTCAGCTTCCCAAAGTGTTGGGATTACAGGTGTGAGCTACCACGCCCAGTGTATGTACTTTTATATAAGACTTCTTTCCCTAAGCGTTATGTTTTTGGGATTCATCTATGTTTCATGTCTCAGTAGTTCATAATATTACACGATTAACTTTTAAAAGCTCACGATAAATATTGTTAAATTGCCCTCCAGGAAAATGTGATGAAATTTTGTAATTAAAAAATCCCTGAGTGGCTGGGATTATAGGCATGCACTACTTTACCCTGCCTTGTGGTCAGATTTTTATTTCATAAGGAGCATGTGAGAGTGCTTTGTGGTGCATTCATCAATCTGACTGTGAGAGGTGGTATTTTATTGGTATTTTAGTTTAAACTTACTTCATTTATTATTTGTTACTCTTTATTTCTCCCTAGTATGTTTTGGACATTTGAATGTCCTCTTCTGTGAATTTTTCATGTTTGTTGCCTATATCTCTATTTTGGTTTTAGAAGTTAAATTATTACTTAAAAGAACTTTTTAATAAGTTTGAATGTTAAATTTTGACCTCTCATGTGCATTGCAAATTTTTTTCCTCAAGTATCTTTTTCTTTTTTTTAGATAGTGTTTTTAAAATTTTTTTTAATTTAATTATTTTTAGAGCCAGGGTCTTGCTCTGTTGCCCAGGCTGGAGTGCAGTGGCAGCCTCACTGCAGCCTCAAACTTTTGGACTCAAGTGATCCTCCCACCTTAGCCTCCTGAGTAGCTGGGGCTATAGATGTATGCCACCATGCCTGGCCGATTTTTAAAATTTTTAAAAAAGAGACAAGGTCTCCCCATGTTGTCCAAGTGGTCTTGAACTCCTGGGCTCAGAGGATACTCCTGCCTTAGCCTCTCAAAATGCTGAGATTACAGGCATGAGCTACCGTGCTTGGCAGGTATTTGTGTATCTAAACATAGAAAAAGTATAATAAAAATACAGTATAAAAGATAAAAAATGGGCTGGGCATGGTGGCTCATGCCTGTAATCCCAGCACTTTGGGCGGCTGAGGCGGGCAAACCACCTGAGGTCGTAAGTTCAAGACCAGCCTTGCCAACATGGTGAGACCCCATTTCTACTTAAAAATACAAAAATTAGGCGGGTATAGTGGCACATGCCTGTAATCGCAGCTACTCAGGAGGCTGAGGCAGGAAAGTCGCTTGAACCCAGGAGGCAGAGATTGCAGTGAGCCGAGATCGCACCACTGCACTCCATCCTGGACAACAGAGCAAGACTCTCTCAAAAAAAAAAAAAAAAAAAAAAAAAAAGGTGGTACACTTATATAAGGCACTTAGCATGAATGGGCCTTACAGGACTGGAAGCTGCTGAGTGAGTCAGTGAATGAGTGGTGAGTGAATGTGAAGGCCTACGATATTACTGTGTACTACTGTAGACCTTATAAACACTGTACACTTAGGCTACACTAAATTTGTTTTAAAAATTTTTATTTCTTCGATAATCTCAGCTTACTGTAACTTTTTTACTTTATAAAGTTTTTTTAACTTTCTGACACATTTGAAGTAATACTTAGCTTAAAACGTGAACATATTGTATAGCTGTAGCTAAGTATTTTTTTTCTTCACATACTTACTCTATAAGCTTTTCTCCATTATGTTTTTTTTTCTTTTTGAGACAGGGTCTCACTCTGTCACCCAGGCTGTAATGCAGTGGTGCGATCTTGGCTTACTGCAACCTCTGTCTCCTGGGCTCAAGTGATCCTCCCACCTTAGCCTCCTAAGTAGCTGGGACTGCAGGTGTGCACCACCATGCCTGGCTAATTTTTTGTATTTTTTTGTAGAGATGGGGTCTTGCTATATTGTCCAGGCTGGCCTTGAACTCCTGGGCTCAAGCAATCCACCCACTTTGGCCTCCCAAAGTGCTGGGATTACAGATATGAGCCAACGCACCCAGCCTTGATTTTTAAATTTAATAATAAATTGCAGCCATTTTCCCGTTTTATTAATTTCTTCAGAACATTTATATGATGGTACTAATGCTGCCATGTACATCTTTTTTTGTTTTTTTTTGAGACAGAGTTTTGCTCTCGTTGCCCAGGCCGGAGTGCAATGGTGCGATCTTGGCTCACCGCAATCCCTGCCTCCCAGGTTCAAGCAATTCTCCTGCCTCAGCCTTCCGAGTAACTGGGATTACAGGTGCATGCCACCATGCCAGGCTAATTTTTTTGTGTTTTTAGTAGAGACGGGGTTTCTCCATGTTGGTCAGGCTGGTCTTGAACTCCCAACCTCAGGTGATCTGCCTGCCTCGGCCTCCCAAAGTGCTGGGATTGACAGGCATGAGCCACTGCGCCCAGCCATGTATATCTTCTTACAACAGGTTTAAGATGGGTACAATTTTATAAGGCTTTGTGCACAAAGACTTGGATTTATTCTTAGAATCTACTTTTAAGTCTTAATTTCAGGTTTTAAAACATTTTAGGGTAGTCTGTAATGAAAAAGCCCTAAATTAAAAATTTTTTATGTATAAACTTGGCTTTAGATAAGTTACATTTACTTATTGAAATCTTCCATTTTCTTAAGAAATCATTCCTGAGTGGGACCTTTGACTTTACCATATCCAACTTACTTTCTCAATTTATGGAGGAGGAAATCGAAACCCTAAGGCAGTTGTGAGACAGGTGCAAGATCACACTGCAAGTATTGGTGAAGCTGGGACAAGAACCCCAAGCTAACTCTTGTCCTTTATCTCATGGCACCTTTTATATTCATGGGAAGTGAACCAGTTACTTCACTCCCTTTGGTCACTGAGATGGCCTGGCCTCAGACTCTGCATGCTCTTCTAATTCAGGTTTGCAAAGTGTAGCCTTGTCCAGCAGGCTTTACTATATCAGAAGCAATAAAGAAGTTGAACACTTGGAATTTCTAAACTTGGATGTCATTAGAGGAGTTGCTAGATTACTGCAAAATGGCTCTGTTTTCATTTTGAATGCATGTACAGATACCTATTTTTTCATCTCAGTTTGTAACCCATGCATTTGGGGTTGGAGTTGGCATGCAGTGAAACCTACAGTATTTATCAATATGTAGTCAGTAACTGTATTTTTGATCAGCTTCCTTTACTTCCCTAACATTTTTAGGTAAAAACAGGAAGTCTTGTTCCTTTTTTCTCCCCAAATCATTATGCCCTGTCTTTTTGTTATTCTAGAATTAAGAAATAGGGTCTTAAAAAGCCAAAAACTTCCCATGAGGTGAATTATAGTAAAGGCTTTCCTTGGGATGAAGAAGTCAGGGTTAAAACCTGTGGGCCAGCAGTATTTTCAAAAGGCACAGAACACCTCTATGGAGATAATTGATAGTTGACTATATGAGCAAACATATACTCGTTTTCAATATTGCTAAAAATCAGTTCTTCCATTAGACACTAATCTCTAATGAGATTAGTTTTCAGACACTATGAGTTAGAAATTATTTTAGTGGTTTTCTAGTCTGACTTCTTGAACTCCATAGTAGGTATTCTCTTGTCAATTCTCCCATCTACACAGAGAACTCCAGTTTGGTAAATTTTCCTGATAGGTCACATTCTTTTTTTTTTTTTTTTTGAGACGGAATCTTGCTCTGTCACCTAGGCTGGATTTCAGTGGTGCAATCTTGACTCACTGCAACCTCTGCCTCCTGGGTTCAGGCGATTCTCCTGCCTCAGCCTCCCAAGCAGCTGGGATTATAGGCACCTGCCACCATGCCTAGCTAATTTTTGTATTTTTAGTAGAGATGGGGTTTCACCATGTTGGCCAGGCCTGGTCTTTGAACTCCTGACCTCAGGTGATCTGCCTGCCTCGGCCTCCCAGTGTACTGGGATTACAGGCGTGAGCCACCGCGCCTGGCCCATATTCCTTATTGAACAATAAAATATTCCCTCATTCATTCAGCAAACCTTTGGTGCTTACCATGGGCTAGGAACTGCACTGGACACTTGCTGGTAATGTGATGATGAATAAGACATGGCCTCCCTTTTTTGTTGTTGTTGTTGTTGTTGTTGCTGTTTTTTGTTGTTTTTGAGACGGAGTCTCGCTCTGTCGCCAGGCTGGAGTTCAGTGGTGCAATCTTGGCTCACTGCAACCTCTGCCTCCCGGGTTCAAGCGATTCTCCTTCCTCAGCCTCCTGAGCAGCTAGGACTACTGGCGGGCACCAGTACACCCAGCTAATTTTTTGTATTTTTGGTAGAGACGGGCTTTCACCATGTTAGCCAGGATGGTCTCCATCTCTTGACCTTGTGATTCACCTGCCTCGGCCTCCCAAAGTGCTGGGATTACAGGCATGAGCTACTGCGCCCGGCTGGCCTCCCTTTTAAGATGATAAGCTCACAAGACCACAGGCTTGCCTCTAATTGTGTGTGTTTCCACTGCCCCCTTGATTTTATAAAACCTGTATAGAAATCTAAACATATTGTTGCTGCAATACAGTTAAAAAGAGCGGGGGAATTGAAATCTGAAAACTTGCGTTCAAATTCTGGGCTTTCTCTTTGGCTTTGGTACTTATTTAGCTGTGTGAGCTGGAGCAAATTGAATAACTTGTCTGTGAGCCACGGTTCCTTGTATATAAAATGTGGACATGAGAGAAGGTATAGGAAGATACCTTCTAATCTGTTAATGCACCTTAGAAGTGACAGACTTTTCTTGTTTTTCTTTGCCTATTAACCAGAATTTTGTTTTCTCACCAGTGGGTCACTGGAGAAGGAAGCTGTGTTATAATCCTTTCAGTGCTGCTGAATATACTGATAATGGAAAAATAAACAGGGGTGCACTGGTTTTCTGGCCTGTAAACCAAAAAACAGTTTTCAGTGCCAAAAGCTGTGTTTGTCTTGCAAGGCCAAGAATGTTTCTGCAGTGTAGGACAGCTTCAGATCCCACTGAATCTCTTGGGTAATCACATGGTTTTGGTTTAGGTTCAGTTGTTTATAGGGCTAGCTTTGCTTACTGTGCTCAGTTTCTGCTGTAGTAAAATAATGTAGGCTGGCTGGAGGTGGTCTCTGTTCAGGGTTATTATGAACTGGCCTTGTTCTTCCAGTGTGCAGGCCCTGGCTAATCAGAGAAGTGTACCTGTCCCATAGCTAGGCTCTGGAAAGACCTTCAAGCATGGCATGTGAACTGGGCCCTGGCTCCTCCCCACCAGGTCCATTTGGAGTCAGTGGTTTCTAAATGGTGGCAGTGAGTGCTTTGCTCTGGCCCTCAGCCTTCTTAGCTTTCTTTACCACTGTAGAGCCAGGTAGCTAAAATAATCTGCCCTGTTTTTCTTCCTTATGAGGACATTTTCTGGAATTTTTATCCCACCTTATCCATTCTTCTGAAAAACTTGTCTTCAGACCTCATTTTTCTAACTCCCAGATAACCAGAACCTACATGCAGAGGTCTAGGAGATCTCTACCCTGCAAGCAGAGGTTCAGAAAAGGAGCAGAGTGAGCAAATGCAGATACCATTGTTCTGTTCCCCTGTCTAACACCCCCTGTAACTCCCAGTTGCCAAATTCAGACTCCTTTCTTTGGTCTGTAAAGCCCAGCCTGATGGGTTCCTGCGCCCTCTCCAGCTTCTTCCTGTGCCTCACACACTGAATGCCTCGAGTACTCACATTTCCAGGGACTTGATAACCTCTGGACTTTTGACGGTGCAGTTTCCTTGCCAATGCTCCGCAAGAATTTCTTCCCAATTTAATCAGTGTAATTAACCAAAAAAACCTCGATGAAGGTAGAGCACTAAGAAGGAAGTAGGTAACTGTTAAAAGATTTTATGTCTGGAAAAAATGCCCCCTTTTTTTTGTATTTGCAATATTCCATTACAAAAACAAAAACAAAAAAAGGCAAGACTAAGATATGATAAAGGGTTCCAACTGTCAAAGTCATGCATGCTCAGAGGATGGAGAGGTTCCTGTGGTCTGCTGTAGGACAGTTTTTCCCTCCTGACTGTTTCACTATGGCCTTGAGGACCCAGAGAGTGGAAGAAGGTCACGGAGAATGGATGGATATCCTAGGGACTGGAAGAGCATGGTGGCTGGTACTGGGTATCCTTGTTGAACTCCAGGAGGGATCTGAGGTTGTTGAAGTGGCTTCACCTTGTTGGGCACCTGAAGACGTCATTACAAATCAAAGATCTTCTGGATTTGATGGTGCACTGCTGAGTGTTGGATTATGAGATCACAGTGAGTGTGTGGCACAAACACACTTTCTATGATCAGCTTGATACGTTTCTAGCTGTGACACCTTATTAAAGCGTGGGTCACTAGCCTGGAAATAACTAAGACTGGTATAACAATAAAGCTGTCATGTATTGACTGTTTACTGCATACCAGGCACTGTTCTAAGTACTTTGTGCATGAACTAAGTTAATCTTATGACAATCCAGGGGGCTTGAGGTTACCTTAAAGGTTCACCTTTTCAAAATTCTACCTTTTTTTTTAAGAGATGGGGTCTCGCTATGTTGCCCATGCTGGTCTTGAATTCCTGGCCTCAAGTGATCCTCCTGCATTGGCCTCCTAAAAAACTCCCACACACGTAAAGCAGCTTTTCAGTTTGTGGACACCAGCTTGGGTGCCCTAAAGTTCAATTCAATTCTGACTGGAATTAGTGTAGACCCCCCAGGTTAAGGAGGCTGCCCCCCCAGTTCAGATGCCAATCGAAAGTAGTAGGTCTTTAGGTTGCCCCTAATTGTTGTCTGACTTGGCTACGAATTGGAAGTTCTCATGACCACCCTCTTGGGATTGATGATTTGCTAGACTGGCTCACAGTTTACTTACTAGATTACCAGTTTATTAGGAAGGATATATTTATTAAAGGATACAAATGAACAGACAGACAAAGAGGTGATACACAGGGCTAGGTCTAGAGGGTCCCAAGCACAGGAGCTTCAGTGCCTGTAGAGTTGGGTGCGCCACCCTCTGGCATGTGGATGTGTTCTTGTTCACCAACCTGGATGGTCCCTGAACACATCTTTCTGGATTTTTATGGAGGCTTCATTACATAGGCATGGTTGATTAAATCATCGGCCATTGGTTATCAGCTCAACTCTCAACCCATTTCCTCTCCACTTGATCTTAGCCAAAAGGCCGAGAAGCGATTCCCATTTCCTCTCATCTTTCCTGGGGGAGGTGGGGGAGGTATGCTGAAAATCCCAACCCTTTAATCCTGTGGTTGCTTGCTGTGGTAACCAGCACCCCATCTTGTGGTTATCTAGGGGCTTTCCACAAATCACCTCATTAGCATAAACTCCGGTGTTGTGGAAGGGGCTTGTTAGGAATAACAGAAGTCACTTCTTTCACCTTTATTGGCCTGGAGCTGCTCCAGAGCTGTTTCAGGACAAAAGACCAAATATTTTAACAAAAGATAAGCTATGAGTGAGGAATTGTGGAAGAAGACCAAAATATGTATTTCTTATTATATCACAACTATACTTTGGTATTTCTGTGTTTTTCATTTTACTTCTTTGAGTTTAGTGAGATGTCATGAATTTTTTTTTTTCAGTCAAGTTTCCTGATTATATTGGTCAGGTTTCTTTTGACTGTAAGTGACATAATGCATTCTAAACTAGCTGAAGCCAGAAGTGGAATTTGTGGATCACCATATTCTGGCTTACATAACCAGACCAAGGGAAGGACATGGGTATGCTGGCCTCTGGTACAAATGAAACCAGGACTTTTTTTCCATCTTTCCCTGTCATTGGTGCCATCTTTGTTTCCTTGGGCTACTTTTTGCTGTTCAACAGGAAACAATGTCCATCAGTAGCTCCTGGCCTCACATTTTATAACTTCATCAGTAGAGAGCTTCTTCCCTTAATTCCAATTTGAAAATCCTGGGGAAAAACCAAGATGGGCCTGGCTTGGAAACACCTGCCCACCCCAGCAGCCAGTGGACGACCTCTGCGATGGGCAACAACTTTCACAGAACAGGATAGTTGCAATGAGGGGGAGCGCCCCTCAGAGGAGGTGAGGGTACTGATCAGAACAATAGCTGTCCCTGCACTGGGGTTCAGCCAAGGCCCCAAAACGCTTTTTCAGCATAAGAATTAATACTACTTTTATATGTAATGATAGTTTTTATTCCTAATCTTACCCTGAGGCAGTTTGTATTCTGAATTGTTAGAGAACTTTTCCACTTACTCTGTTTGCTAAGAGAAGAATAGGTAATTTGTAGGAAAATTTCAACAAGGCTTCCCAGTTGACGTTCTCCCTTACTTCGTGTAGCCTGCCTAAGAGATATTTAATTACCCTGCATTGCTCATCACTTCTCATTTTACCCTGTCCTTAGAGAAGAGTGGAAGACTGTTCTCAAAGCAGTGATTCAGGGACTAAGGCTCCTTCTATCTGTGGCTCTTTTATCTTCAACATATGGTTGCCAAGGTTGCCATGCTTGTCTATATGGACAAGCTCCCAAAAGGAGAAAAGAGCATGGAGGGTCATGAGTGAGAGGTTTTTAACGGCCAGGTCTAGAAGTGGTCCATGTCAGATTACTTACTTTCCATTGGCCACATGGCCACACTTCACTGAAGGCTGGGAAATATGATCTAGCTGTGTGCCCAATAAGAAGAGGAACTGAGTTTCAGTAGCCAGCAAGCCAGCCTCTGCCACAGCTTCTTTGGTAACATTTGTTGCTTCCCCTTTTCCCCTTTGCCATGCATAATAGTTGTGTAGTTTGGGTGGGATTGAGCTCATTTCCAGCTCTAGGGTGGGCCCCAGCAACATCCTTGCCTCATTTATTGGTTCAGTAATAGATACATAACCCAGGCCCAAGCTGAGCAGGACATGGAATTCATCTGGTCCCAGTTACTAATTCAGGGGCAGGCATGTCATAGAAACTGTCCCAATCAGACTATGGAGTGGTTGGGGGAAGATGTTCCTCCCACCTCCCTCACAGCCCCCCACAGTGAGGACAAAGCCAACTCCTGGGTGAGAATAGGCTTAGAGAATTGCAAACCCGTATTGTGAAGTCCTACCAAACCTTTCCTGAAGCTCGCAAGAGCTGACCCTGGACTCTGCGTTAGCATGAGGCAGTAAATCCACTCTATCGCCTAATACTTTAAGATTAATTTTCTTGACTTGCAACCACAAGCATCCTGGCTGATACAACCAATGAAATGGAAGAGGAATAGGGAGAGAGAAAGGATACAATCTGAATCTCTAAGTTCTGCTTCCGTTCATTGCTGTCAGTTCTATGATGTTTCTTTGAATACTTGAACACAACCAAGTTGGGTCTGAATGGATGTATCTTAGTTTCACTTCCCCATTCTCTGGAATTAGAGTGGGGATAATTACATTTTTTAATATTCTTTTTTTTTTTTTTTTACCTTTAGACAATGTTTTCTCTCTGGATTGAATGATACATAGTTTCTTTGAAGAATACATTATGACATTTTATTTCTCTTCCACCATAATGGAATCATATGGACTCAACATAGTCCATATGATTTTTTTTCCTGTTTTGTTTTAGTGACTTTTCTAAAGTTTGTCTTTTCATCTAGGAAGTATATAGAATACATTTATCTTACACATTGCAGTATGCATTTGTTTTATAGCTGGGTATTATCTCTATATTACTATAGGACTTTTTTTTGTTTTTTGTTTTGAAACAGGGTCTTGCTGTGTCACCCAGACTGGAGTATAGTGGCATGATCACAGCTTGAGCTCCTGGGCTCAAATGATCCTCTCACCTCAGCCCCCTGAGTAGCTGGGACTGCTGCCATGCACCACCACATCTGGCTAATGTTTTAATTTTTTTGTAGAGAAAGGTTCTCACTATATTGCCCAGGCTGGTCTTGAACTCCCGGACTCAAGCAATCTTCCTGCCTTGGCCTCCCAAAGTGTTGGGATTACAAGTATGTGCCACTGTGCCCAGCTGTTATTACAGGAACTTTTAATATTTTGAGTTAAATATTCCAGGCCATTTTAGAATTTGAATAGCTTGTCAAATTTGTTGATTTTATAGCACCTCCGTCTTGAAAAATATGCCCCCTGGTGTTCCTAAAAGAACATTTTGAGAGAATTATATGGTATTTAGTAAGGCAATTAGAAATCACCAAGTATTTAGGGACTATTGCTTAAGAAGCTAATTTGCACAATCAGAATTCATTAGCCCAGGACACAGACACCTTATACACCTGTGGTGACAAATGAAAACTGTGAAAGTCCAATCTGATTCATTCCTCTCAGAATATGGAGGACAGGAGAGTGGGGACAACCTCAGCATTAGGACTGCCCTCTCTCGTTTTGTTTCAAAAAGAGTTTAAGTAACTTAAAAAATACATATAATAAGTTTAAAAAAAAAAGGAAATTGGGCCAAGGGAACATGGCGAGAACTGACCAATTAAGTCAGGAGTGAGGTCAGTATGTGGAAACACATGCCACAGGGGCATGCATGATTGCCATGGGGCTGGGTCACACGTTCGGCTCTGAGCTTCCACAGCCTCACCAAATACGAAAACAGTTGCAGAATTCTGGAGATTTAAAAATGGCAAATGACTCAGGAGAAGTACAGTTTCTGAGCTCAGACCTAAAGAAATTATTCTCTCAGGAAGGGGAACATCACACTCTGGGGACTGTTGTGAGGTGGGGGGAGGGATAGCATTAGGAGACATACCTAATGCTAAATGACGAGTTAATGGGTGCAGCACACCAGCATGGCACATGTATACATATGTAACTAACCGGCACATTGTGCACATGTACCCTAAAACTTAAAGTATTATTATTATAATAATAATAATAAAAGAAAGTATTCTCATGGGTCCTTTCAGAGGGACAAGGTTCTGAACAATGTTGCCATCATAAATGTGGTGGTGAATGTCTCTCAGTGCAAGCTGAGGGCAGGATGCCATACACAGATTCCAGGTGGGGCTAAAGTACATGGTCCAGGCACTCAGTTAGTTTGATTTGGGAATTAACATTTAGTCTACCTGGAAGAATGTGGTATTACCCATTTTTAATCTTGGCCAATTTTATTTGCATTAAGTTGATTTGAAACGGATATCAGTCTTTGTCCATATGTTTATCAACCATTTGTAATTTTTTTTATATTGTCTATTACTTTGGCTGTTTTCCTATTGGAGAAATAGAGTTTTTCTTCTTGTGTAGATTTTTTAAAAGTTAAGAATGTTAATCTTTTTGTCATGTGTGGTGAATAACTTTTTTTTTTTCCCTGGTTTGCCTTTTAAACTTACCCCTGGTAAACATTTTTAGGATTGCTCACTGAAATAGGAGGGAATTAGGCTACTGTATTGCGAGTGGGAGGATGAGATTAGGGCATGTATATGATGTCCCTTCTGGCATTAGAGACTTTTGACATGTACTTGAGAAGAGGGAATATTTGGAATTTGGACTAGTCCCTACGAAGAGGAGAGGAGGAGTGGTTGGGGACATGGAGAAAGCACCTTCGGCAGCACTTGGTGTCCAGCTGTGGTGGGACATTGTGCATTTAATTACCATTCTGCAAGCTGTGTGATCTTCAGCAGTGTTTGGCCATTCTTCTGTACATGGGTGAAAGATAGACAGTTAGATTGATCTGGAATTGGAGTTTTGCATTTCGCAGAATGTCCAGTAGCTACTGATGAGAGAGCAAAAGTGTGGGATGTGGGTTTGGGTTTGATAGAAGGGAAAAGCATTAGAGGGGGACTAGGAGAACAGATGATATAGGGCCAGGCAGTGTCAGTTAAAGGGGCCAAATGATTATATGCTTAGAGCAGTGCCTAATAGGTGGAGCTTCTCAACACGATTCAGCATGGGTGGTGGTGGTAAGTGAAGACTGAAGAAGCAGCCAGCCACAGTAGCACAAAAGCAGGCAAAACAGATCTGTGCTGTTAGAATTCAGCACAGTGGTACTGGGAGGGGACACAGGGCGGCTTCTAGTATGCCGGTAATGTTGCTTCTTGATCTGGGTGCTGGTTATACAGGTACGTTCAGTTTGCAAAAATAAATCTATTAGTACAGTTACGCTATATGTACTTTCTGTGTATGTTCAATAAAATGTAAAAAATAATGAAAGAGAGCACATACTTCGGTGCCCCACCACATTGTTTTCAGATCTCAGCTCTGCAACTTTATAGCTGTGAGACCTTGGGCAAATTACTTAACCTGTTTGTGCCTCAGATTTCAAGTCATATAAAATGAGAATAATACGTACATCACAGGAGTGCTGGGAGGATTAAATGAGTCTCCCAATAGTGTTGAGTACATAGTAAATACTCCCAGAGTGTTGCGTATTATTATTTTTTAAATAATTATTATAAATGCGAATATGTATGAGGGAGAACTGATGAATTGGAAATTTGTGGTCAGAGAGAGCTCTTGGACATTCTGCCAAATGACATTCCTAAGTATGGCCATACAGTGGTGCCTGTAGTGGAGTGGGGTTGGACTGCAGCTCATAGTCAGAATTAAAGGGAAGGGTGAGGTGGTTGTGTTGCCATATGAACCTTGACCTTGCCCAGGGTGATGGTAGTACTTGGAGTGAGCTTGAAGCACTGAGGTCCTTAATGTATGTGAGTGACTTAGAGGTCAAGAGAAGGTGGCAGGGGTGGCATTGCTGTGTGTTATGAGCCTCAGGGTATCTAGGAGTGACAGTGGGAGAGTCAGAAGCTGGCTCCCTCTAATAGGGAGTGGTCTGGGCAGCTGTGGCCTTTGCAGAAAGTCCTATTCCAGGACTTTCCCTACAGTGTCTGTGCCTGCATAGTCAGTGGCTCAGGGAGGGATCAGAAGCCAGGGAACTTTGCAATGTTGTGATGGTGAAATATGGGTTAATTATATTTGCTTCAATATATTTTCAGAATTCCACGTGCTGATACCCGTAATACTCTGTCAGACCCCATTACTGCCTTTCTCCTTGAACCTTAGCTATATCTGCTTCCCCTCACCAGACCCTTCCTCCATACTGTGTAACTCATCCCCCACCCCCAGTTCAGTTGGAGAAAGTTGAAGTCATTCTAGTTCCACACTCTGGGCCCCATTTTTAATAACCGGACCCTGTGGCTGTGGACACATTCCCATTTTAAATTCTGCTACCAGGTATAGGTCTTGCTCTTATACCTTATCCTGGCTACCTGCCAGTACTCCAGCTTCCCCACAGCTGAGGTCTTCTTTGCATTCGGCCAAACCCTTTTCTGACTCCAGGCCCCAAGGGTGCGAGCCTATCACCTGATATGAACTTCCTCCCTCCTCTAGTCTGCCTGAATCCTCCATTACCACCTTCATCCCACCCTATTCCACCTTGCCCCTGTCTGCTGAGCCATCTGCATTTGCTGAACCTCGCTAAGGCATAGTCTGCCAACATTGTCTGCTGGGGGTACAGAGAGAGCCTCCCTCTCCCTGTGTCTCGAGTTCAGCACCTATTCCACCTTAGTAAGCCTGTGAGGCTTTCCAGGCATCTCTCCCAAGCTGGTCTGTCCCTTGTCTTCAGGGCTCCTGTTCTGACACTGGGCCCATGGGAGGTACAAGTTTTGAGTCCTGTAAAAAGAAAAAAGAAGGAAGTGTCCTTCACACAACTTCTGACCTTTTTCTTCACTTCCTGGTGTGTTAGTGTGTGAGAGAGAGAGAGAGAGAGAGTGTGTGTGTGTGTGTGTGTGTGTGTGTGTGTGTGATGTTTAGGGTCTGAGGATATTCAAAGTGGAAAAGGGTATAAGAGCTAGGTAATTTTTATTTTGTGACTAGGCAAAGGCAGTCTAAAAAACTGACCTATGGAGACAATTTTAGTTCTCTTCTACCTGTTAATGTAAGAGATGTAAAAACTAAAGTCTTTCTTTTCAAAGTGACTACTAGAAAATCCTTTTGGACTGTAGGTAATACAGAATGTTTATAATCAGACCAACAAAATACTATTCCTACACATTGTTTTCTATGACCTAGAAATAAGGATGTTACAGATCCTTCTTTGTAATGGAATTTGTTGTCCTAAGATCATACCCATTGTAAAATTTAGGACTTTTCGTTGGTAAATAATAAAATTTGTGGAAAGAAGTACTCACAAGGATTTCAGGCTGGAGAAGGGACTATTGGCCATTGTATTTTTCCTGGCCAGTTTTCATCAAAAGTTTAGATTTTCTCCGGACTGTGGTAGGTTATCTTGTCTGTTATGACAAAAACTAACCAAACAAAAAACAAATGTCACATGCTGTTAGCAGGAATGTAAATTAGCAAGATTACTTTGGAAAACTGTTGGCAATATTTACTGAAGTTGAAAATATGCATGTTCTCTCACCACCAGTTCTACTTCCAGTTATATAGCCAGCAGAAATGTGTAGATATGTTCACCAAAAGTCACTACTAGAATGTCCATTGTAGTATTAGTCGTACTAGCTAAAAACTAGAAATAACCCCATAGTTCATCAGAAGAATAAGCTGTAATATAAGCATATAATGAAACACTTTATAGCAATGGAAATGAAAGATCATTGCTACATGCAACACCATGCATGAATTTCATAAGCATCGTGTTGAGTGAATGAAGCCAGACAAAAAAAGATTACATGCTATATGATTTAGTTTATACAAAGTTCAAAATCAGGCAGAACTATGGTGTTGGCAGTTAGGACAGGGCTCACCTTTGAGGAAGGGGAGGGGTAGTGATTTGGAGAAGGCTTGAGGGCTTTTGAATGTTCTATTTTTGACCTAGGTGGTAATTATATGGGTGAGTTCACTTTGTGATAATTAACCAAGCTGCACACTTAGGGTTTATATTCTTTTCTGTAAGTATGTTAACCTTCAATAAAAATGTCCATCAAAAAAACTTTCAGTGTTTATTATACTTGAGCCACATGTTCATATGCACCTGTCCCTTCTGGTCTTAGGGACTTAGCATGTGCTTTAGCCTCAGTCTCAAACAGTTTGACTTCCTTTTTGCAAAATAATACTCATCATTTTGGAAACCTTATCTGATAAGCTGCTTCCCTCTCTTCCTTACACACAGAAGGGAGTGTGTAGTTTCCCTGTTATATCCTCTGTGGGCACCATGTCCTGAACCACAGCTAGGAGTTCACATGTCTGTATGTATTTGATTGCCTCTCCTGATGTTTAAACTTGAGGACGCTGGGCCTATTTATGCCAGTCATTATGTCTCTAGGGACCACTACAGTGCCTACACTCATTGGTATTTGTCAAATGAATGAACTGACTTCAAAGGGAACAGTCTTTTTTTCTGTCACCCATTTCAACTTTTAATTAGGGTTAGTAGGAGGTTGGAGCCCCTGTGAGGTTGCATGGAACATTTTTGAGATAATAGTGACTTTAATAGCCTTAAAGTATGACCTGTAGGAAAACTCAGCTGAAGGAGGGGAGCAGTTATTGGCTAATCAGTGTCCCTTAACCTAGTTCTGTGTTTCCCCCAGTCGTGTTCCTGAGAGTGAAGTTTATATATGATGACTTCATTTGTTCTGGCTTTTCTCATGACAATCCTAAGGTCAAGTCTATTTTAAGTCTGAGAAATATGTCCTGGAAGTTAGTTTCAGAGTCCCTATTTCCTTTTTCTCTCCTTTGTATTGAAATCTTGGCTGTCCTCCCCATTCCCTCCTTCCAAACTGTTCTTAGAAACGACTTTGCAAGTATCATAAATATCCTCTATGTTGATTTTTCTCTGAACTTTAGCTGTTCTTTTTCAGTTAGATATGGGGAAGTGGCACGTTCTCACTCACCATTCTAACCTGACAGAATTAAGCCAAAAGCAATGTTCAGATTGGCCCAGTAGGAAGACGAATTGAAGATGAGACATTTACATTACACTTTATTTGCTGGATGATTTTTGTAGGGTTTTTTTCTTCTTGTGTAATGTTGTTAGAAGACAGGTTTGGAGCCAGAGAGTACTGGTCCAAAACTCAACCCTGTCTCTCCCTGCTTTTTGACCTTTGGCAAGTTTCATAACCTTTCGGGGCCCTAGCTTTTTCTTATTTGTAAAGTGGTGGTAGTTGTCCAGTTTTAATTAAATTTTGAATGTAAAATGGTCTGTCAATGTGTAAAAAATTATAAAACACTCAATAAATTGCAGTTGCCTAAAAGGGAAGCTTCAACTTTATTGTTAGAAAAATAATGGTTTTCCTAGAAGAAAACCTAGGCATTACCATTCAGGACATAGGCATGGGCAAGGACTTTATGTCTAAAACACCAAAAGCAATGGCAACAAAAGCCAAAATTGACACATGGGATCTAATTAAACTAAAGAGCTTCTGCACAGCAAAAGAAACTACCATCAGAGTGAACAGGCAACCTACAAAATGGGAGAAAATTTTCGCAACCTGCTCATCTGACAAAGGGCTAATATCCAGAATCTACAATGAACTCAAACAAATTTACAAGAAAAAAAACAAACAACCCCATCAAAAAGTGGGCGAAGGACATGAACAGACACTTCTCAAATTAAGACATTTATGCAGCCAAAAAACACATGAAAAAATGCTCACCATCACTGGCCATCAGAGAAATGCAAATCAAAACCACAATGAGATACCATCTCACACCAGTTAGAAAGGCAATCATTAAAAAGTCAGGAAACAGCAGGTGCTGGAGAGGATGTGGAGAAATAGGAACACTTTTACACTGTTGGTGGGACTGTAAACTAGTTCAACCATTGTGGAAGTCAGTGTGGTGATTCCTCAGGGATCTAGAACTAGAAATACCATTTGACCCAGCCATCTCATTACTGGGTGTATACCCAAAGGACTATAAATCATGCTGCTATAAAGACACATGCACACGTATGTTTATTGCAGCACTATTCACAATAGCAAAGACTTGGAGCCAACCCAAATATCCAACAATGATAGACTGGATTAAGAAAATGTGGCACATATACACCATGGAATACTATGCAGCCATAAAAAATGATGAGTTCATGTCCTTTGTAGGGACCTGGATGAAATTGGAAATCATCATTCTCAGTAAACTATCACAAGGACAAAAAACCAAACACCGCATGTTCTCACTCATAGGTGGGAATTGAACAATGAGAACACATGGACACAGGAAGGGGAACATCACACTCTGGGGGCTGTTGTGGGTTGGGGGGAGGGGGGAGGGATGGCATTAGGAGATATACCTAATGCTAAATGACGAGTTAATGGGTGCAGCACACCAGCATGGCACATGTATACATATGTAACTAACCTGCACATTGTGCACATGTACCCTAAAACTTAAAGTATAATAATAATAGAATAAAAAAAAAAGAAGAAAATAATGGTTTTAACATACAGTATTGTTAGACTCCGAAAAGTAGATTAGGGCTTTCTTTTTAAGAATTTATTTGGAAATTAATTTTGATGATTTATAAATGATTATATAATACCCAGTTATACAATTTACCCTTGGGAACAAAGAAGGAAATATAATATTATATTGGCTTGTATAATCACCCTCTTACTTTGGAAACAAAAGAGTGGGAGTGGGAGAATTTTGGAGAACCTGATCCACTGTTAACTCTAATAATCGTTTCCTGAAGAACAGCCCCATCCACAGTTAAACAGAAATCTGGGGATATTAAATGGAGCTTTGTACTCTTGTCACTTTTTTCTTTCTTCATCAATTTCTAGTTGCTTAGAATTAAGGGCTACACTAAATGACCCTGCATTTGTTGGTGAGAACAGGGGAAGCAGAGAGATGTTTTGTAAGGGATGGAAGGTAGTATTTACATACAAAATTCACAGATTTGGACCTTAGCAACTTTGATCCTGATGGGCTTGATAGAGAAATTACAAGGTTAAAAGGGCTTTGAGATGTGGTGGAAAGAACAGAGACTTCCTATACCCTGCCTCTACCACTGTGCACTTTTAACAAGTTATTATCTTCTCTGAGCATCACTTTTCTTATCTGCAAAATGGGAATAATGAATTCTATCTTTTAGAGTTTTTGAGATTAACTGAGATAATGTGATAAATGATACTTTTCTTAAGGCAGTGAGGTAGAAAAGCAACAAATTTTTATTAGCTCTTTCTTCCTCTCCTTCAATTTAATCTATTATATGTGTTTGCCAGAATAAAGGAATTGTGTTTAAAGGATTGTCTGTAATTACTCAACTTAGTATTTTGAAATATTTTATTGTGGAGAATTTATAACATGTACAAAAGTAGAATTATGTTGTATTTGTTGCATAACAAATTACCCCAAAGTTTACTGGCTTAAAACAGTAATAAGCATTTATTTCTCACTGTTTCTTTGGTTCAGGAATTTGAGAGAAGCGGGGCTCAATAGTTCTGGCTCATAGTCTCTCTTGAGGTTGCAGTCAGGTGTTGGCTGGGTCTTTGGTCATCCAAAACCTTTAGTGGGCCAGCGGATTCACTTCCAAGGTGCTTCACTCATATGATTGGCCAAGTTAGTGCAGGATGTTTTGGGGTTTGAGGAAAGGCCCAATTCCTCTCCATGTGTGTCAGCTTCACAGGGCTGCTCAGGTACCCGCTGGCTTCCCGCAGAGAAGTGATCCAGGAAGTCAAAGCAGAAGCTACAATGCCCTGTTTGACCTAGCCTAGACTACATATTGTCAGTTCCACTGTATTTTATGCATTACATATACCAGCCTTGATTCAGGGTGGAGATGATACACGATCTTGTGATGATAATCACATCTTTCTTTCTTCCTTTCTTTTTCTTTTTCTTTTTCTTTTTTTTTAAAGTCAGGGTCTTGCTCTGTCCCCCAGGCTACCAGGCTGGAGTGCAGTGGCATGATAATAGCTTAATGCAGCCTCGAACTCCTGGGCTAAAGCTATTCTCCTGCTTCAGCCTCCCGAGGAGTTGGAAGTACAGGTGCGGGCCACTAGTCCTGGCCACAGTCATCACATATTTCATTCATTAGTGGTGATATGGCGGCAAATGGTGATATTCTAATTCTCTCATTACTTTTTCATTTAATACTGAATACCTCTATAAAGAGAAGCTCCTCTCATTAACTATGTGATAAAGTTTGAATAGCATAGGCAGGATAAATGCTTGTTTCTTGTTCTCCATTTATTATACCAGTTTTCAGAATAATGGTTTGACTTCCTAATATCCTCCAAAGGGGACCTGTTAAATGTTATTTGTATTACTATGAAGTTAAGTATTTTAATGTATTTGATATGTTTCAGTCAATTGCTCTTATTACCTATATTGATGTTCATATATTTATACCCCTTTTAGAGAAATGGTGGCATACTGTACATAGTACTCTTGATTTGCTTTTCTCGCTTCACAGCATATCCTTGGGATCACTCCATAGTTGTCTATGGAGGAATTGTTCATTCTTAAAAAAATTGAAATATAATTCATATACTCGCCCTTATAAAGTAGACAATTCATTGGTTTTTTAGTATAATCAAAGTTGTGCAACCATTACCACTAATCCTAGAATGTTTTCATCAAAGAAACCCTGTACCTAATAACAGTCCCTCCCCATTGCCTCCTGCCCCTTTACCCGCTACACCCCCAGCCTCTGGCAACCACTAATCTATTTTCTGTCTCTCTGAATTTACCAATGAACGTTTGATTTAAGTAAAATCATATAATTTCTGGCCTTTGTGTCTGGTTTCTTTCAGTTAGCATAATGTTTTCAAGGTTCATCCATGTTTTATTAATAGTTTGAATCAGTTCCTCCTTCCTTTTTTAGCAGCACAGTGCTCCACCGGCTTGATCTGTCTATACCTTAGCTAACCAGCTCATGTTGGTGAACATTTGAACATTTGAGTTGTTTCCCTACATTATTATATGACCTTGTGCATAAGTCTTTTTTTTTTTGGACAGGGTTGCCCAGGCTAGAGAGCAGTGGTGCAATCACAGCTCACCGGAGCCTCGACCTCCCGGGCTCAGGTGATCCTCCTGCCTCAGCCTCCTGAGTAGCTGGGACCACATCACGCCTGGCTAATTTTTGTAAAGATGGAGTCTCACTATGGTGCCCAGGCAGGTCTCAAAACTACTGGGCTCAAGCAACCCACCTGCCTCAGCCTCCCAAAGTGCTGAGAGTCATCTTTTTTGTTTTTTAATGTGAATTTTGCTAGGTGTTGTTCAATTTCCCTCTATAAGGGTTGTACCATTCTGAATTTTTACCAGCAGTGTATCAGAAAGTATTATTTCTCTACTGCCTTGCCATAGAATATTTTGTGATATCTCACTATGGTTTTTAGTTATCATTTTACTTCTCATATCGTGATTGAGATTGAGCATCTTTTCACATGTTTAAACTCTGCATTCCTTTTTTTGTTAACTATCTGTCCATATCACTCTAGACTCTCTCCAAAGGGTCGTTTGTATTTTCCTTCCATTTTTGGCATCTCTTTCTATATTGCAAATATTCTTTCCATTTCTTTATTTCTCCTTTTGTTTTAAGATGACTTGTCGGCTGGGCGTGGCGGCTCACACTTGTAATCCCAGCACTTTGGGAGGGTGAGGTGGGCAATCACTCGAGGCCAGGAATTGGAGACCAGCCTGGCCAACATGGCAAAACCTCGTCTCTATTAAAAATACAAAAATGTGCTGAGTGTGTTGGTGCACATCCGTAATCCCAGCTACTTGGGAGGCTGAGGCATAACAATCACTTGAACCCGGGAAGTGGAGGTTGCAGTGAGCTGAGGTCGCGCCACTCACTGTACTTCAGCCTGGGTGACCAAGCAAGACTTGGTCTCAAAATAAATAAATAAATAAAATTTAAAAAATGACTTGTCATTGCAAATTTAAATTTTTATGTAATTAATTCTAACAATATTTCCCCTAATATCTTCTGGAGTTTGAGTCATAATGGGAAAGCTTTCCATACTCCATGTTATAAAATATTTACCCATGTACTCAATGGTTTTATTTTTCACATTTAAATCTTCAATCCATTTGGAATTTATCTTGGTGTATGATATGAGGAATAAATTCAGTTTAATCTTTTTTTCCATATGGCTATGGAATTATTCCCAGCACCACTTATTTTGTTCATTCCCCCACACTAATTTGAGATAAATTCCATTCATAATTGAGTTCATTTCTGGATTCTCTGTACTGTTCCATTAGTCTCTCTTTAATTATGTGCCACTACCACACTGTTTTAATTATAGAGCTGTATAAGAATTATCTTGCAAGGCTATTCCTCTCTCTTTTCTTTCCCTTTTCAGGGTCTTCTGGCTGTTCTTGCTTGTTTGTTTTTACAGATGAACTTTATAATTAGCTTGTCTAGCTGTGGGAAGAAAACTCAAAGGTTTTTTCTTTTTATTGAGGTTGTATTATATTTACAAATTAGTATAGGGAGAACTGACATCATTGTGATGTTGTATCTTCTTATACAAGAACATGGTATGTCTTTTTACTTGTTTAAATCTCTTGTGGTTTTTTGGGAGTGTTTTTATGACTCTCCTCATAGAGTTCCTTATTGAGTTTATGCCAGATGTTCTATTATTTTTTGCTTTCATAAGTAGGATTTTCTCTTCCATTATGTTTCTAACTGAATTTCCCTTTTTTTTTTTTTTAATAAATGAAGCCTGGGCCGGGCGCGGTGGCTCACGCCTGTAATCCCAGCACTTTGGGAGGCCGAGGCGGGTGGATCATGAGGTCAGGAGATCGAGACCATCCTGGCTAACAAGGTGAAACCCCGTCTCTACTAAAAATACAAAAAATTAGCCGGGCGCGGTGGCGGGCGCCTGTAGTCCCAGCTACTCGGGAGGCTGAGGCAGGAGAATGGCGTGAACCCGGGAAGCAGAGCTTGCAGTGAGCCGAGATTGCGCCACTGCAGTCCGCAGTCCGGCCTGGGCGACAGAGCGAGACTCCAAAAAAAAAAAAAATAAATAAATGAAGCCTGTTGATTTTGATATGTTTCTTATATAGCCTGCTAAGTTCTCTGATTTGTAATACATAGCACATAAATTCTTTGGGGTTTTCCAGACATATCATTATATTATTTGTAAATAGAGTTTTACCTCTTTTCCAATTTTTAGACCACTAATTGCAGTCTCTTATTGCATTGGATAGTATCTTTAATACAGTGTTAAAATAATAAAGAAGATAATGTTTTATACAAAATAGTGTGTCTTGTTTCTAACTTTGTCAGGAAAGTTCTAGTTTTTCCCCATTAATATTTAGCAGACTTTTACACTTTTATTAAAGGAATAAGACCGGACACGGTGGCTCACGCCTGTAATCCCAACACTTTGGGAGGCTGAGGCGGGTGGATTACTTGAGGTCAGGAGTTCAAGACCAGCCTGGCCAACATGGTGAAACCCTGTCTCTACTAAAAATATAAATATTAGCCGGGTGTGGTGGTGGGCACCTGTAATCCCAGCTACTAGGGAGGCTGAGGCAGGGGAATTATTTGAACCTGGGAGACAGAGGTTGCAGTGAGCCGAGATCGCGCCATTGCACTCCAGCCTGAGCAACAGGAGCGAAACTCCGTCTCAAAAAAAAAAAAGCAATAGTGGGAGGAAATTATGTGGAGAAAGTTTTTGTGTTTTTTGCTTCTTTTCAAAGTATGGATGAGATATGCCCAGGATGGTGGTGGTAGATATTGTGATTATTTCTACTCTCAATTCTGTAGTTATAATATCCAGAATAAGTATGGTTTGATGAGCGTTTCAAAACAACCACTTTGGCTATCAAGTGAAAAGTAGATTGTAGAGCAACAGAAGTGGCAGTAGGCTAACTACAGGACTTTTGCAGCTCTTCAGAGAAGTAGTTTGGATTTCATGGTAGCAGTAGATGTAGAGGGATATAGGCAAACTTGGGATATATTTTGGAAGTAGAGTCTGTAGTGGTACTAATTAAAATAGTCATGTAGATAAACTGTTTCTTACTGTTTCAGGACAAGATGAGTCTATGCCAGATGTAAGTCACCACACTCATTTACTGATTTCTTCCTTGAGGATTTTTTGTTGTTAAAAAATTTTTGTGGTTGATCTGCATTCTGTCTTAAACTCTTTATTTCATTGTGGATTATTAACAGTTGGTCCACGGGCCACACTTTAAGCAACGTCAATCTCTAGTATCCATCTTAGGGGCAAACCATGATCTATTTAACCAGTCTCTTACTATTGGGTAGATGGTTAACCCTCACATCATCTTTTTTTTAGTATTAGGAATAAGTAACATTGCCATGAAATGCTTGTTTCTATAATTATGTGTATATATCTTATGCTTTCTTTAGGATAATTCCTGGAAATAGAGTAAGGATTTTGGAACATAATGACAAATTGTTCTCCATTTTACACACTTGCAGAGCCACATTTTTACCAGTATGAATTCTTTTTTCAAAAAAATCTTTGCTAATTTGGATGACAAATAGCAAGTTGTTATATGAATATGTACTTATTTGATTACTAGTAAGAATATTTTAAATGTATTTTTTGGAATTGATACATCCACCTTTGCCATTTTTAATGCTCTTGGATCATTTTTACTTTGGGGTGTAAGTACCATTTACATTAAGGTTATTTACTCTTTGTATAATGAAAATATTTTTCCTCTGTTTTAAAAATGGATTTTGGTATTTTTGCATCATGTAGAAATTGTCCTTTTTTATAGACTCTCCTAGCAGTATAGTTACTTGGGAGGTGTAGTTGGTCAAGCCTTGCTGCCTCCCTGCTTCCATCTCTAAAGAGGTTGCCCTTTGGTGGTAAGGGCAGTTCACTATTGTGAACTTGCTGGGGTAAAAGGTTTTGGTGTGAGGAACTTAGGAGTTAAAAACTCTTCTGTAAGGGAAATGTATATGAGTGATGGATGATATTAAGAGGTTATTTTTAAATTTTGTTAGGTGTGAAAATGGAATTGTGGTTGAGTAGAAAAATCTGCATACACACATAGATGTATTTAGGGGTGAAAAATGTGAGGGATTTTCTTGAAAATACTACAGTCAAAAAGATAGACATAGCAAATGTATCAACATTTAAAAAATTTTTGATTTGAGTGATGGGTTTATGAGTGTTCTTAACACTTTTAAAATTTTATTTTAAAGAAATGGGGTCTCGCTGTGTTGCCCAGGCTGGACTAGAACTCCTGGGCTCAAACGATCCACGTATGTCAGCCCCTACCGAATAGCTGGCATTACAGGAGCACTGTGCTTGGCTTCTTAATACTATTCATTATTTTTGTGGGGTTTTTTTTGTTTTGTTTTGGAGTCAGAGTTTCGCTCTTGTCACCCAGGCTGGTGTGCAATGGCATGATCTTGGCTCTGCAACCTCTACCTCCCAGGTTCAAGTGATCCTCCTGCCTCAGCCTCCCAAGTAGCTGGGACTACAGGCACCCACCACCACACCTGGCTAATTTTTGTATTTTTAGTAGAGACGAGGTTTCACTATGTTGGCCAGGCTGGTCTCAAACTCCTGACCTCAAGTGATCTGCCCACCTTGGCCTCACAAAGTGCTGGAATTACAGGCATATGAGCCACTATGCGTGGCCAGTGTGTATGTTTCGAAAAGGCTCTTGGGTCTCTGGAGAACTTTGGGGGAGTTTTTTTTTGGTTTTTTTTTTTTTTTTTTTTTTTTTTTGGCTTCCTGTGACTAGGATTCTCTTCTTAGTCTCTCTTCTGGCACTTTGCAGGCCGGGTGGTTGGTGATCTACATTACAAATGGAGCCACCAGTAAAGTCAGAAATGAGTCAAAGAAGGAGGTTTATGGTTGCCCCTTTATTTAAATGATCATGGTCATTGGCAAATAATAGGTATTCTTTCTTAGGCACAAGATTACTAATCTTCTCAATTCTCTGTCTGTGTTTATTTTTTATGTGATCTGTCTGCCAAAGAAGGAGAGTAGTGTTTTGAAGTCCTTCAGTCACAGTTGTGGTTTTGGCGAGTTTTTCCTCATACTTCTCACAGCTCTGGGCATTAAGAAAACAACAAGGGCCCGGCGCAGTGGCTCATGCCTGTAATCCCAGCACTTTGGGAAGCCAAGGCGGGTGGATTACCTGAGGTCAGGAGTTTGAGACCAGCCTGGCCAACACGGCGAAACCCTGTCTCTACTAAAAATACAAAAGTTAGCCGGGCATGGTGGCGCGTGCCTGTAATCCCAGCTACTTGGCAGGCTGAGGCACGGGAAGTGCTTGAACACGGGAGGTGGAGGTTGCAGTGAGCCAAAATTGTACCACTGCACTCTAGCCTGAGCGAGACTGTGTCTCAAAACAAACAAACAAAACAACAACAAAAAGTTTTTTTAATTTTGAAATAATTTTAGACTTAGAGAAAATTTACCAAAAAAAGTACAAAGAATTCCTGCGTAGTCTCTACCCAGATTGCCCAAATGTTACTAATATTTTACCATGGGCTTCTATTTATTGCCTGTATGTATCCATATTATTATTATTTTCTTAATCATTTAAAGTAAGTTGCATACCCGATGCCCCTTTACATCCCTTCAGTGTGTTAATTCCTAAAAATAAGGACATTCTCTATTATCAATACTGTTACCAAGATCATCAAATTAACATTGTTACAGTATTGTTAGTACCACAGACCTTATTCATGTTGTCCCACTAATTTCCTTTGTAGCTGCTATGGTCTCAATGTTCGTATTCTCCCAAAATTCTTGTTGAAACCTAATCACTAATGCAATGGTATTAAGAGGTGGGGCCTTTGGGAGATGATTAGGTCATGGGGGCAGAGACCTTGTAAATGGGATTAGTTCCCTTAAAAAAGAAGATTGAGGGAGCTTGTTCTCCTGTCCGCCTTGTAAGAACACATAGCAGGTGCCATCTATGAAGAGTAGGCCCTCACCAGACACTGATCTTGGACCTCCCACCCTCCAGAACTGTGAGAAATAAATTTCTGTTTATAAATTGTCCAAGCCTGGTGTGGTGGCTCACACCTGTAGTCTCAGCAATTTGGGAAGCTGAGGTGGGAGGATTGCTTGAAGCCAGGAGTTCAAGACCAGCCTAGGTGACATAATGTGACCCCGTCTCTAAAGACAAATTAAAAATTTAGCTGGGCATGGTGGCCTTTGCCCGTAGTCCTAGCTACTGGGGTTGGGGGTGGTGGTAGTGCAGAGGTGGGAGGATTGCTTGTGCCCAGGAATTCAAGGATGCAGTGAGCTATGATCGTGCCACTGCACTCCAGCCTAGGCAACTGAGCAGTACCCTGGCTCTTAAAAAAAAAAAGTTACCTAGTCTAAGGTATTTTGTTATAGCAGCTCAAACTGACTAAGACAACAGCAGAAGAAAAAAAAATACTGTTACTTTCTGATCTCATATCCAATCCAGGATCACACATTAAATTATCATGTCTCTCTAGTCTTCAGCCTGAGGCAATTCTTAAGTACCTGTCCATTGAGATCTAGATGTTTTTGAAGAGTACGGAACAGTTATTTTGTAGGATTTTCCTTATGTTTGCTTTGTCTCCTGTTTTCTTGTGATAGATTCAGGCTGTGCACGTTTGGCGGGAATACCACAAAAGGGAGGTTGCGTGTCCTCCTTACTGCATCATATCAGAAGGCACATTCCATCTGTTTGTTCCATTACTGGTGATTTTCACTGTGATCACTTAAGGTGGTGCCTGCCAGGTTTCCTTAGTATTTTCTGCTTTGAAATGAATAAATATCTTATGGGGAAGTATTTTAAGACTATATACAAATTCTCTTAATCATTAAGCTTTCACCAACTAGTTTTAACATTCATTGGTCATTTTTGTCTGAAATAGCTAATACCACGGATAGTTGCCAAATGGTGAATTTTAACTCATGGGTAGCATGTTTTGACAGCTTGTTATTCAGCCATTTGGGGTTTGTCTTAGTTCTTTTCAGCTGAGATGTACAGCAGCTTTGTAGAAAAGGGCAGCTAGATCTCAGCATTGGTCCAAAGACATGGGTGCTTCACATTTTGTTATATCTGTTTGGACAGGACCTGGATGGGTCGAGTTCTCACCCATGCTGGACGGGGCACCCTGCCTCTGCCTGTCTGCTCTTCTCTAGCTCTAGCACCAGTCCACCCAGGCAGCTTTGTCTGGGTATTGGAAGTGTTTTTTTTTTTTTTTTTGTAATGTCTGACATAGATCATATTAACTAGAATAAACCAGGCAAGGCGGCATTTTTCAGAAGGGGCTATGGCATGGTAGTGTCATATATATGCAAAATTTTTTTTTTTTTTTTTGAGATGGAGTCTTGTTCTGTCACCCCTGTCGCCCAGGCTGGGGTGCAGTGGCGTGATCTCAGCTCACTGCAACCTCTGCCTCCCGGGTTGAAGCAATTCTCCTGCCCCAGCCTCCGGAGTAGCTGGGATTACAGGTGCATGCCACCACACCTGGCTATTTTTTTTTTGTATTTTTGGTAGAGACAGGGTTTCACCATGTTGGCCAGGCTAGTTTCGAACTCCTGACCTCTGATGATCTGCCCACCTTGGCCTCCCTAAGTGCTGGGATTACAGGCGTGAGCCACCGGACCTAGCCAGATTTATATCTAATGGGATCAAGAGAATATTTATTTTGTTGAATGGAAGATGAAGATATATGAACATGTTTACATGCTAAAGGGACAGAGTCAGTAGGAGAGATTAACGATCAAGACAGAGGGGACTGTTAAGGGAGTTTCCCTGAAAAGGTAGACCTAGGTAATGGGGTTAGCTCTTGGCAAGAGAACGGACACTCAGGAGGAAGTTGGAAGGAATGAAGGGAAGGGAACAGTACTGTTTTTCAGGTTATGAGTAGGCAAACATTTGAAGGAGTTGTTCCCTAATTGCCTCATTTTGCTTTGTGAAATAGGAGTGAGATTATGTCCTAAGAGTTAGCAGGTACACGTCTTGAGGACGTCGCTGAATAGGGAAAGTGTTGTGGGGAATAAGAGCATTGTCTGGGGTTCACCAAAGGATTTCTAGGCTTCTGGTGGTAGAGACCATGAATTCTTGGTGGCCTCAGTCTGCAAGGCTCTGTTATTTTTCTCCCGCAGTGGTTATCAGCTCAGGTGGAGAAGCATAGGAAATAATTGGGTTGGTTGGGGATGGGGCTTTGCCACATATTGTGGTGGGAAGGCCAGGGAGGTAGGAGAACAGAGAGTGGGACAAGAGGGTTGGACTTTGTTTGGAGACGTGGTTTATGACTCCATGGTGGTCTATACAGAACTGGGGAGGTGGGATTGGAGAGAGGGTAAAAGAGTGAATGTCTTGAGAAGGTCAGAGAATTATTGGAGGAGGAATTAGGTTCAAGATTGCTAGCAGCATAGGAATATTAGAGAGTAGAATATTGGAGTTTAGCATTTTCATCATGGGACAGTTCTGGCTGATGAGGGGCTGGAGTGGAGCAGGGTAAGGTGAAGATCACTGGGTTGTGAGAAAACTTGAAATTGGTGGATGGGTTATTTATGTGGACATTGACACCACCAGGTTGATGGGAGGACATTGGTGGAGGGGGGATGACAGTGTTCCAAGTGTTCAGGGAAGGAGGGAGAGTTGAGCAGGAATGAAGTATTGAGGCCAGATGGCATGAACACACTTAAAAGATGGCATTTTGGTTGCCAAGGGATCAGGGATGGTTTGGACCTGGAGGTTTGGTGGAACTGGCTGTCCACAGCCTCCAAAGATGTCTTGATGCTACGAAGAGTGGAATTTGCTCAGATTTCCAAAAAAAAGTTGGTCATTGGGCCTTTGCTTGTATTTCTTCTTCCTGTAGCTCCCTTGCCTACCTTCTCTACCTGGCTAACTCCTGCTGGCCCTTTAAGACTGAGCTCTGAGATCACCTCTTCCGGGAAATCTTTCTTGAACCCTCTGATCCGTCTATCTGTCCCTATGTTCCTTATGCTTATCTCTAACTTAGCAGGTATCATACCATATCATCGTCTGCTGTCCTTCCCTCCCCTAGACCATAACTTCCTTGATGAAAGCAGGGACTGTATCTTTGCATCCCTGGCACAGTACCTGGCATATATTTGGTTGAACTATATGAAATTGCCATTTAAGAAGTGAATTTGGTCTAGTTTGTAATTTCTCTCCTTAATAGGTGACTTTCTTTTGTCAGCTCATCTTGAATCTTTTTCTGAAGTTACAAGCCCCTTTCTTAGTTTGGCCTTAGCCAAGTTCCATGCAGGTTGTTTCTCTTTTAGTGACCAACTAATTTCTATGTGGGCCAGTCAGTCTTTCATCTTGCTTAGGCTTTTTTTTTTTCTTTTCACCCTCTATTACTCCTACTGCGTAGGCTTTTTGTTACATTAACTTCCCTTTTGCTTTTCTCTACCCTCAGCAGAGGGGGTCAAAAGAAACTTCTTTGTTCTTAGTCTTCCTTAGCTGCCCAAAATTTCCCAGTAGTTTGCCCATGCATTTCATTCCCCTATTGACTCTTACTGAGTGACCTATGTGCCAGGCAAAAATTCGGACTTGTTCATTCTAGTTTCTCTGCTTCTAGTGTGTCTCATGCTGGTGTTTGTTGGCTCAGATGTGTTAATGGGGCTGCCGCTGCTGTTGTGGTTGTTAGTCATTCTTTTGAACAGCGGCTTTAGCTTACCAATGCTCCAGATACAGTTTTTCAGAAACTCAATGATCTGTGTGCATTACACATTAAAAAGTGCATTGAACAACAGCATATCCAGATTAAAAACAAACAAATTAGATTTATCTGGTGTTTTTCCATTATGGGTTGGAGCAAACATGCTGTGTATAAATCAGATAAACCTTTTCTTTCACTGTTTCAGACTGAGAATTGTTTGTTCTTGCTTTTGTGGTCACCAAGAATGTAATATAACTATGCTCTTCACATCCTAAGGCCACCATAAGTCCTGGATCAGACCTGTTTTTTTGAAGTCACCTGAATTTTGACTTGAGGCTCCCCCAACCCTTACTCCCACTACCCCTTTGAACTGGATCACTTTGCTTTTAAGGGGCACTCCCTTGAAGCCAGTTCCCTGAAGTGACCTACTTTCTTGAGGTGCTTGAAGAGCTTCCCTTTCATTTGGGAGGCTTCCTCAGTGCCCCCATTCCCAGGCGTTTTTTCCTGGGAGTCCTGTCCTATTCATGAATTTCCTGTTTTTTCCAGGGGGGTGGGTAGGGGGTGTGGGGGCAGGCAGTACTATGTTATTATCGTAACTAGTGACATTTAAAGAAAGAAACCCAAAGCCCAGTTAACCAATTACACTTAAATTCTCTGGGCCCAGGCCTGCTGGATGCTCTCCATCTACCAGAAATGCTTCTTATCATCCCCCCTCTTTTTTAGACTGCTAATCCTTAACAGATTAATCTGAGTTTATATTTAGATGAAAGTTATTCATTAATAGAAAAACCTGAAACTGTAGTGAGGGCTGACAGTGTTGAAGTGGATAGAGGTACATAGGCCACCTTTAGACCAAAAAGTCTTTGTAAGGCACTGGAGTCTTTAAGTGTCTGCTTTGGCACAAGGACATCAGGTTATCCTTAGGAAGCCAGGAACACCTTGAGACTCGGGCCAGAACAATGTGGCCCACCTTTGAGCTTCAGGTTTGGTCCCAGTGAGTCTCACGCCTTTTTGATGCTGACCATATATATGGGGCAAAACACTCTGTAATCTGCTTTACCCCACTACACCCATCCCATCCATCCCTAGTTGCAAAAATTTCAACTTGTATGAATATGCACAGATTCAATAGTGGAAACTCAGCACTGTTGAGTGCCAGGCTTCAAATATGGAATTAGTGACCTCTGAACCCGTGTTTGTCAAACTGCCTGCTAATGGGTCATGACATCAGTTTAGCAGATTATGCCTAGCACTATTGTTCCAGTTAAATTGCTGTGAAACAAACCACCCCAAACTTAGTGACATTAAACAGTAACCGTTTATTATGCTCATGGATTCTGTGGCTCAGGAATTGGACAGGGTACAATGGGAGGTGGCTTGTCTTTGTTCCATGATGGCTGGGGGTTGGGATCATTTGGAGGCTCTTTTACTCCACATCTGATGTCTGGGCTGGGGTGCCTTGAAGGCTAGTGGAATCAGCTGGGACCAATGACCAGAACACCTACATGTAGACTCTCCATGTGGTCTGGGCTTCTCACAGTGTGGTGGCTGGGTTCCAAGAGAGAGGTTCCCCAGAGGAAGCATTTAGAGAGCCAGTGTTCCAAAAGAACAAGGACATTTGATAACCTTGCCTCTGAAGTTACATGGCATCACTTCTGTTCCGGATTTGTGGATGCTATCTCAAGCCTGCACAGATTCAAGGGAGGTGGAGATAGAGAGATGGAGATCTATATCCCCATCTCTCAATGGGTAGAGAGTCAAAAGATTTGTGGCTGTTTTTAAAACTACTACAAGTTCATTTTAAAACAAGATAGATGCTTGAGCCCAAAAGTTTGAGGCTGCAGTGAACTGTGATCATACCACTGCATTCCAGCCTGGCCCTGTCTCAAAACAAAAAACAAAACAAAACAAAAAAACTAAATTTAAAAAATAAAACAAGTTAGAATATAGAACAACAGAGTGCCTCATGTAGTCAAAAAAGGCATTGTGAAACTTGTGTTTCAGTTATGTGTGTCTGTGTGTTCTGGTTTATGAGGTAACGTTTTTCTTTCTGTGGTCTACAAAAACATTTTTTAAAACACTGCTTAACTGTAGTAACATCTAATTTGGTTTATGAACACCAAATTTTATCTCTTAATACCTCAGTTAATAGGTTACTATTGTGTGGTTCTTTGTTATAAAGATGAGAACCTAAGGAATTGATTGTCCTTTGCCTGTAAGAACAAAAAGTCCTTTGGGACCTGTTTTCTTTGCCCTCCAGGACTCCCTGAAGGCCTTGTTGGACTGTGGACCAGACTTGGAGAGTCAGTGTGCTGCAGAATGGGCTGTGGTCTGGGCCAGGAGTCAAAACTTCCTTAAAGTTTTAGTCCAATCTTTGCCAGTCAGTTTCCTAGAGTAGCAAACAAATGTGAAATGAAGAGGACATACTTCTTTTTAGAGACAGTCAGAAAATATTTAGCCATCTGGAAGCCCAAGAACTATTCATAATAATAAAGAGACAGCTACCTCGCCTGAGCAAGGTGGTGTCTGTGGTAAAGCAATCTCAGGAAAGGCTTTCTACCTTCAGTGTTGAAATCAAAAGGAAATACTGAGATTGGGGTCTGCAAGAAAAGACATGCTATGTGTGTTGCCAAAACAATCTGCCTTCCTCCCCTTGCTGTGACTTACTGCGTTTAGTTATTCCTACCCTTTCAAGGAAATGTGCAAAGATGACTGAGCAATGGCATTTACTGTCATCTTATAAAACACTGCATTGCAAAACAATTTTTGGGAATAGTGCGATTAAATGGTAAATTTTGCTCACGTATGTTAGGAAATTTACACAATTCTGTGCTTTTATTTCTTCTTATTAAAATGAGACATGTTTATTCTAGAAAACTAGAAAATACAGATAACTGTTATTTTACCACGTAGAGGAGGGTATTATTTACCACTGATTTTTTTTTGGTTGCATATCCTTCCTGTCATTTTTCTGATATGTATACATTTTAAAAAACAAATGGGCTGTTGCAGTACACTGTTCTGAAATCTACTTTTTAAACTTAGATGAACACATTCCATGTCAATTAATGTACTTCTATTATAAAAACTTCATAGTGTTACATTGTATAGAGATAGTATTTGAACGCTTAACGTTGCTGGCAACATTTAACTGTGGTAAACGATGCTGTGGTGAACATCTATTAATATATAACTAAATCTTTTTTGTAATCATGATTCCTAAAATTTTTTAAAAATCTTTTTTGAATATATATGTACATGGTACACAATGTTATGATTTTCCTTAGGAGATACCTATGTAATTTGATCTGCTAAATCACAGAGCATGAACCTATTTTATTTATTATTTTATTAGAGACAGAGTCTTGCTCTTATCACTCAGGCTGGAGTGTAGTGGTGTGATTATAGCTCACTGCAGCCTGGAACTCCTGGGCTCAAATGATCCTCCCTCCTAAGCCTCACAAGTAGCTGGGACTACAGGTGTGTGCCGGCACAACTGGCTAATTATTTTATTTTTTGTAGAGACAAGATCTTGCTTTGTTGCCCAGGCTGGTCTTGAGCTCCTGGCCTCAAGTGATCCTCCTTCCTCAGCCTCGCCAAGTGCTGGGATTACAGGTGTGAGCCACCACGCCCGCCCAGCATGGACATTTTGAAAACAAAAAATTTTTGTGCTGCTAAATTGTCCTTCCCAAATGTACCAGTTTATACTCCTACAAAAGTGTTATCTATTCCTTGTATTTCGCAATTTGATAGAGAAAAAAGTCACTTGCTTTCTTAGTTGGGTGATTTATTTGCATTTTAACTTCTTTAGCATTTTACCTCTGAAAATCTTGCCTGTTTTTTAATCCTCATCTCAAATACCTCCCACCCGACCCCTCCCGAGCACCTCCCAGCACAATGAAGACTTCCCATCTGCTCTGTCTTGTGGATTTTTCTTGTCCTTTCCAATCACCTGTGGTTTACTTGAGAGCATTAAGCACTGTGTCTAACTCACTTTTTAATCTTCTTTTGCATGCAGCATATTTCATTGCATATGTTTAAGACTCAGTAAATATTGAGTTAAATTGCAGTCCAACAAAAAGGATTGATGGCAGCACAAAGTAATCTGTCGAGAGAGAGAAATGTAAAGAAAAGAAATGTTCGTCAAGCTGAAGACCATGTGAAGCTACTTTGGAGAGGGCATTTAGTATTTCATTTAGGAATTCTTATTTGCCTGTAGTAAAAAAAGAAAGGCCTCTCCTTTTTTTTGAACCATTTTTATTTATAGCTAATACTTCCATTAGGCAGCCCAGCCCTGAAATTCTTGTTTAATAATAGCCGATGTTTTGTCAATATTCTTATGTTAACCGTAGGTAGTAGGATCCTCTGAAGCCAGGACTATTTTTTTAATGACCCAACTTATTGTTAAAATATATTTTCTCAATAAGTTAGTGTTGGCTACCGTCGGAAACTTACATCTCTTTCCTGTTTTCAATGCCTTTCCCTTCTGCCATTGTATTTGGTTCAGACCCCTTCAGATCTGTTTTGTCCTCACGGGTCTTTTTTTTTTTTTTAATGACTTTATTTAAACTTGGAGCATCAGTCACAAATTTGCAGAGACAATGCTATTTTCTACTGAAGGCTTTTGTCTGAGCTTATTACCTCTCTTATGTTTGCCTTATATCCATCTTCTTCCCAAATATACATTTTACTTCTATTTATTTCTTTTCTACATGAATTTGTATATATGTGGCGCTGAGTGAAATTACAAGAAAATGCAATGGTAACACACAGTTTATAAAACCCTGGAGATAGAAACATTTTCTGGTGCCTGACACTGCTGGACTGGACCCTTTTCTGAAGCTGCACATTCTGCCATTATTCATCTCTGAGTGTTAGATGGTATCAGTTAGGACCCTTCAGCTGCAACTAACAGCATTCAGAACTAAAAAGCAACTTACTTTTCTCACATAAGAAGTCTAGAGTCTGGAAGTCAAGTGTCACTCATATGACAATGTCTAAGGCAGGTGGGAAGGGGGACACTCTTTTAACTGGGAGAAAGAAGTCTCCACCTCTCCCCAGCGGGCTTCCCCTCAGGTCCCACTGACCAGGGGTTCTGTGTGCGTCTGCTCTGTTCTAAAGAGGGTTGCAGAAGGAACATCTAGTGGCTTCCACTGCTGTCAAGGGAAAAATGATGTTGAGAATGTGACCAACAGGTGCTGTTAGAGGCATAATTCTCACTTGCATTGAGCTCCAACCTCCCTTTGGTTACTTCCATAGGTCAGCTCTAGCTGTACTCTAAATTAGAGTCCCACAACCATTTTATTTCTCTTTCTTTTTGTAAATTCCTAGAAGTGTTGAAAACAGAGGGTATGATTCTGCCTGAGTTTTGTCTCCTGCTTGTGGAATATCTTCAGTTCCTGGAACCTGAGGTTGTGTCTTGCCCCCGTAGCCTCCATTGAATCTGGCCCAGTTTGGTATGATCTCCTAGCCACAGCCTCTTTGTCTCCCAGCCACAGTCACTAGTTTCCTTTTCCTGTGAGAAGTGAGAATTAGTCACTCACTTCCAGTGCTAAGCATAATCAGAGTGAGGAATGTAGGAGCAGCTCTAAAAACCTGAGAGCTATTGGTGTCTGGAATTAGTTTTATTGTTTTTACCTGGTATTTGTTCCTGGGCACTTAAGTGCTTGCCTGGCTGCAGCACTGTTAATTGATGAGACCCAACTAGGCCCTCTGTCATCTGACCCTGACCCCTCTGCAGCCTCATCTACTGTGGAATCCTCCATTTCAACCATACTTAGTCATTTACTATTCCTTAACATGCTTGGTGGCTTCACACTTCCATGCCTTTTTGCACATAATATTTTCTCTTTCTAGAATGTTCATGTCCCTCTTCTTATCTGGCAGAGCCCTACTTTTCCTTCAAGATTTAACCTCAGCAGGCATCACTCCACTCCTTTGGAAAACTTTTGTGATTTTTCCCTTGGACAGAGTTAATCAGTTACTTTTCAGTCACACTCTCTACAAGTTCCTGTTGTTAAACATTCACAAAGTGTTGTAATTATCTGTTTATATTTTTATATCCTTCTATATTTAGCTTCTGGAAGATGGGATTTATGTTTTTATTTCTATAACATCAGTACTCAGTATACGTTTAGCGCATAAAAGGTGCTTTGTAAATGTTGAAATGAATAAATGACAATTTTACATCTAAACCTGCTGATTAATACCAACTTCATATCCTTCTTGTAAGAAATCTGTATATATTAGAAGATTATAAATTATAAAATACACAAGCTACTATGTTATCTAAAACTGAATCTGATAGCCCATCACATTTCTTATTTGGCAGACTAGACTGAGGCCTGGAGTGGATAAGTGACTAGCCTAGGCCACATAATGATGAGAGGCAGAGATAAGACTAGACTTCTATGTCTTTGTCTCTCACATAGCTTGTCTTGTAGTTTCTATAACACCATCTTACCAGATAGGTGAGGGAGATTTGGGATTAGCATCATCTGTGTGCCGTCAAAAACCCTGCCATTGCTCTCCTCGCCTGTATGCTTTTGTTCACGTGGACCTTTGGCTCTCTGCTTGCCTGAGTCCTGCCCTGTTGCTCCAGACCTACCCTGATTCTTGCCTTTTCTGACCATCTCAGTCAGAATCACTTAAACCATCTTCTGAGTTTCCATAGCTGTTTATAGCACACGCAGCAATACCATGCAGTGACTGAGTACAGCCCTCAGTCCACACCCCTGCTTCCTAGCTGTGTGACTGACAAGTAGATTAACCTCTCTGTTTCCAAATCTATAATTAGGAATAATAATAACAGTTCCTACTTTATAGAGTTGATGTGTGAGGATTAAGATGTTCTGTGGTACATAGTAAACATCCAAATGTTACATGCTGTTATTGGTGGTGACGGCCTGATTACTATTCATAAATCGCTAGAGGCTGATTACTGGCTGCCTCTAGTTTCAGCTCTTCCTGTGTCTGACTGCTTATTGCTGAATCCAGGGTTGCCCAGTTTTGTAAGGGGTATATCCTAACCTGCAGGTTACCCTCAGACACTTGTTGGAATATTTTTGCGAATAACATTCACTTAGGAGTTTTGTTCCCTGGCACACACCAGTGCTTTGTCATGTAGAGGTTCGCTCATTTGTATAGGTGATGTTACTTTGAAAAAGTTGTCTCTAAGGTCTGCTCAGTGAAAGAACAGGATGTTTTCTCTCTTTACTTCACAGCCATAGCCAGCTTTGAGGTTCAGTGTTTGTATAGCTCTAAGTCTCTGTTAATTAAGGAAATGGACTAGAAAAGACAGTTTAATGAAAACTCACAGACAGTAGACAATTTGCACACATTCCATTGTTTGACACCATAGTAGAAGCTCACCTCTAGATGTAAAGGAGCAGTCTGTAATTCTCTTGACCCTTTTCCTGATTAATAACCTGTAGATATTGTCCATCCATGGTATAAGAGTTGGATAGTTTTGTTTGGATTTTCTCTATCTTGTAAATGAGAAACCAGGGAAAGAAAATACAGTGTATTTATTATACTGGGAACAAAGGTCATGGAAACAGTAACTTTTAAAAAGAACCCTTGGTTACCTAGTTTTTAAAGACCTAGACTTCCTTGTTCTATTTCTAAAAGTCTGTGGAATAAACCCCTCATTTTCTCTGATTTACAAGGAAACTAAAATGTGGAAAATTTGATCTTTAAGGGGCATGACTTCTGGTTTATGGGATTGTTTATTTTAAAGTTTAAACATTTCAGTGTCTTATGATACTCTTAGTTAAAAGGAAGTTCTCTTGAGTATCATATAACTATTAAAATTATAATTTAGATCTGTATTTTCAAGAAAATACTCAGTTTTAAGTGGAAAAATGCATGGGAAAAGGTCAATTTAAATGCATTTTAAAAAATCAAAGAATATGTGCTTATGTTAATAAGGATTACTTTAGGGTAATGAGATTTCGGGTAATCACTTTTTACTTTTTTCCTCTGCAGCCTTTCTATATTGTCTGGATTTTGGAGTGACCATGTGTTACTCCATATTCAAAAAAATTTTTTAAGCCATTTTGTTTATGGAGGAAAAAAGTGCAACTTAAGATTTGAACATGGTAAAGTCAGCCTTTTTCTATCTTCCCCAGGGAAGTTATCCCCAGCAGCTAGGAGAGAAAGAAACAGAAATGAAAACTCCATCTTTGAAGAAATTGGGAGATATCTGAAACCCCAAACCAGAAAATGAGTAGAATAAGTTCTTCAAAGATTGAACCAGGGTATGAGAGGAAGTAGACTGAAGGCACTTGGGACTACAGATCTCAGGAAAAGAGAGAGACATTTTCCAACGTAAGGGACACACCCTGGGATTCAAAACCAAATGCTTCATTTGAAATAGTGGAAATGAGCACACAAGCTGATGGCAGGAGCTTCCCTGCAGTTAGTTTGATTCCAGGATGCAGAAGAGGCTGGATTGAATGAGGACTTAGACAAGTAGTACTTGTAGGGAGAGGTCTGACCTTGTAGCAGGAAGGAGAGACTACACTGTGAACAGCTCCACAGCTGCCTTTTGCTTTTGGTTGATGGGGGAGAGAGGCTCAAGAATACCTTCCCCAACCCTGTGTGCATATATACACACAGGCTTGCAAGTAAAAGAAAGAAGACTTCTACTCTCCTGAATATGGCCCTGGCTCCTCTCCCAAATGAATCTTCAAATAGCTGGTCCAAGCCAGGCGTGGTGGCTCACACTTGTAATCCCAGCACTTTGGGAGACTGAGATGGGCAGATCACTTGAGGTCAGGAGCTCGAGACTAGCCTGGCCAATATGGTGAAACCCCGTCTCTACTAAAAATACAAAAATTAGCTGGGCGTGGTGGCGGGCGCCTGTAATCCCAGCTGTTCGGGAGGCTGAGGCAGGAGAATCGCTTGAACCTGGGAGGCAGAGGTTGCAGTGAGCCAAGATTGTGCCGCTGCACTCCAGCCTGGGCGATAGAGCAAGACGTGGTCTCAAAAAAAGAAAAACAAAAACACAAAAATTCCCTAAAGAAGGAAACAAATAGTGGAGAAAACAAAAGTTTTGTAGTACAAATCAAGAAGTTTCCAGAAATAAGAGAAAGCTTGAATCTACAGTTTGAAAAGACACACTGTGTTCTGGAAAAATTAACATAGAGTGGCCAGCCTTGCAACATCTCCCAGTAGGGTTATTAGATTTTAAATGTAAAGAATCATTCAGGCAGCCAGGCCAAAAGATCAAGTCACTTAGTAAAGGAGAAATTTTGACTCCTCCGTATTATTAACGATCATGGGAGGACACTGGAGCAACAGTGAGAAACTCCGTAAGGAAAGTCAGTGTGACTCAAGGATTTTATATTCAATGAAATTGTTTTTTAAATATAAAAACAACAAATGCATTTTTCTATGTTAGAAATCAAGAAAGAATATTCTCGTGAACGCTTCTTGGAATCTAGTCGAAGATAAACTTCAGTCCACCAAGAGATAACTGGAAAAACTACAGCAAAGTAGATGGCAATGAGTGTTGACCCTCTAACTGTAGGTTAAAACAAATGTGGAGATTGATACAGTAGAACAGAATGTAAAGGTTATATGACCTGACGGTGTGTGGTCATATAACTAACCACCTGTGGGAGGAGAGGGGAAAGAAGATTGTAGGTAAAGTAAGAGTGCTGTTCCCTCATCGTTAATAGCTAAGGTTCAAAGGGTACCATGTAAAGCTGACAATGAACTAATAGAGGTATAGGGTCTATTTACAGCTACAAAGCTAAACAGTAAGAGTTAATATAACTGACTAAAATAGGTTAGCAAAAGAATGGTGCAGGAGAAGAAAATATTTTATTTATTTAGTTTTACTAATTTTAGAGACAGGGTCTCACTATGTTGCCTAGGCTGGTCTTGAACTCCTCCTGGGTTCAAGTGAACCTCTCACCTTGGCTTCCCAAAGTGTTGGGATTACAGGCATGAGCCATGAAACCTGGCCCAGAAATATTTTAATTTCATCATTTTCATGGGGGTTAAATAGATACTATCTAAATAAATAAAGGTTGATAGATATTTATAAATAAGTGACCATTAGACAAAATATCAGTTATCTTAAATATCAAAATACATGCACAAAGGAAAGTAGCCTCTACAAGGGGTAACAGAAACAATGGACAGATACCTGACATACCAATAAATATAAATGGGAGTTGGGGTTACAACAGTCTTGGTCATCAAGAAGTCGGACCTTATATTCCACTAATATGTTTCTCTGAGCAACTCAAAACCTGGTATTTCAGAAGCTTTGGGGTCAGCAGGAGCAGGACCTCACCTCTGGGTATTTCCTTTTTTTTTTTTTTTTTTTTTTTTTTTTGAGACAGTGTTTCCCTCTTGTCACCCAGGCTGGAGTGCAATGGCACAATCTCAGCTCACTGCAACCTCCGCCTACCAGGTTCAACCGATTCTCCTGCCTCAGCCTCCCAAGTAGCTTGGATTACAGGCGCCCGCCACCACGCCCAGCTAATTTTTTGTATTTTTAGTAGAGATGGGGTTTCAACATGTTAGCCAGGCTGGTCTCAAGCTCCTGACCTCAGGTGATCCGCCCACCTCGGCCTCCCTAAGTGCTGGGATTACAGGCGTGAGCCACCGCGCCGGGCCCTGAGTATTAACTTTAAAGTGATTTTCTTTTTCCACTCAGCCAACTATAGTGAAGGTACTTAGTGTTTTGTTTAAGGTGATTAGTTTCACTCCTCTGAAAAAATTAAAAATTCAAAACTAATAAATAAATGAATGAAACTAAAAAAGGAAAGACCAAATTATTATTTATTTTGAATAGTTATGTTGGAGTTTTTGATGGAAGTTCTTTTCTCAAGAGCTATTCTCAAGGACCAGGAAAATATATTTTGTTTTTGGAAGTTCTTGGAATATAAACAGACCAACTTTCTGAAGTGTCATAATATGTGGTCCCCTAATATGTGTATTTAATGTTCTCCTTTGTTTCACCCTCAGAACCAAAGCTGCCTTCATTCCTTGGTTTCATGGAAATAGTGTGCATATGTAACAGACAATAATAGCACACATGGAGATTCTAGTTTAAATGACATCTAGCAGTTGCTAATGCCACCTTTCCAAATTTTCAGCAGATCTGAGGTTGAAACTGACAACACCAAAAAACAGTCCTAGTGGGGCACATATTTAGAAGTTATGGAACTGGATTGAAAAACATATTTTAAAACAGGAATATCACCCTTGGCAATTTGATAGAAAATGGGAAGACTTAACTGCCTTCCTCATGGTCCACTCCTCATTAACCCTGGCAGCCATCCAAATTCCTCTGTTTATGTGGATGCTACTTTTAACAGCAGTCAGGTACTGCATTCCCTGTCTTCTTCCTGCTTCCTCTTGGTACTACTCTATTCTACATCAATTCAAAGACCCTGGCTGCCAGCATATATCTGAGCAGTGAATGTGATGCTGTCTCAGAGGCTCCCATGATTAAAATGGGGGCATAAACAGGAAACACCCCAGTAGTTGACCGTGTTAGAGACATTGAAGGACAGAGTACATACGCCAGGAAGCAGAGCCACTTTATTCCTAAAGCCTAGTGGACTTGAACCTGTATACATCAACCCTTCCCTCCCACCAAACAAAACATTAGTGCTCAGAGAGTAAAGCTATGAGCCCACATACACTTTGGCTATGGGCAGATGCAGGATCCAGGTAGAATGTTGACCTGGGGTCATTCTTAAGGAGTTCCTGCCCAAGATGTTAGCTCATCAGGCTGAGAGGACTCCAGCAGTAAAGGTTGTGGGATCTATACTTTGGTAGAAAAGGAGAAAGGACCAAGAAAAGCCAGCTGAGGCACTGCCTCAGCTGCCCATCTAAAGGAAGTTGCAGCAGGAGGGACACAGTAGAAGAATCTCTAGAGACATCACAAAAATGCTTTTTTAGAGAAAGAGCTTTAAACATCCATCAGGCCCCAAGAATGAGAAGTCGTCTTCTAACAGCACTGGTCAGGGACTTCTCTGACCCTTTCCTGTCCTCCCTGCCTCAGAAACAGCAGCTAGCAGATTGGGGAGGAAGTGAGGGAGATAGAACAGTCCCCACCCCCAGCTTCTTCCCCAGTGGCAGGCTGCCCCTGCAACTGGTCCTGCTATTAGAGAGAGGTCTTTTCTTCAAATGAAGGTTGCAGTGCTCTTAAGATACTGGACTAATTTTTTTTTTTTTTTTGGAGACGGAGTTTCTCTCTTGTCGCCCAGGCTGGAGTGCAATGGCGCAATCTTGGCTCACTGCAACCTCTCCCTCCCGGGTTCAAGGGATTCCCTTGCCTCAGCCTCCCAAGTAGCTGGGATTACAGGTGCCCACGACCACGCCCAGCTAATTTTGTATTTTTAGTAGAGACAGGGTTTCTCTATGTTGGTCACACTGGTCTCAAACTCCCAACCTCAGGTGATCTGCCCGCCTCTGCCTCCCGAAGTGCTGGGATTACAGGCGTGAGCCACAGCACCCAGCCTGATCACTTTCTTTTTGCAAATGTAACCATCCAGATTAAAAAAGAGCATTCCAGGACCCCATGAGATGCCCTTGTATTCCCTTTTGATTACCTCTCACCCCACAAAATATACTATAGATTAGTTTTGCCTGATTTGAACTTTATTTAAATTGATCATTTTTAATTACTGAACTGAGCCTTAATTATAATGTGAAATGAGCAGAAAGATATTTCAAAATGTTTCATGATGGTTCTTTATGGCCAGTATTTTTGTATATCCTGTAGAAATATGTCATTCCCTTTATTTTCAAACCTCATTTGTGAGATTTTAGGGATACGAATGCCTTTTTGGGACTGGTGTGGCTGTGTTCTTCTTATTAATTATTACTGAAGTAAAGAGGAAATGATATCAGCAGATGTGCAGAGCTTTTATTTGCACTGAATACACTATTCATTTAGACAAAAAGATCATTTCTCAATTCAAATCAGAATATTCTAATTTAAGGCTGAAATCAGTTGTGTCATAATCTCTATGGAAACAAAGCTTTCTACTGTGTAGTAGTTGCATAAGTAACTCATTTCCCCTTGTAGATATACAAATTGTAGATGCAAACACTTCTTTTTCCATTTTCTCCCAACAATACTCTTGAAATAGAAGATACTTTAGTCATATTTGTTACGTTTTACAAAATTTAAAATATCTGTTCAAATTTCCTGCTGACATACATTTTAATAAAATTGTTAAAACTTAAAAATTGTTGATGAGCTCACTTTCTTTTGCTAGTTGAATTCAGAAAAAGAAGATTGAGTTATCCTTCTTAGCTCTTGCGTATTAGTGTCATCTAACTCTGCAAGGCTCTCTCCAATTGGGGGGTGTGTGTGTGTGTGTGTGTGTGTGTGTGTGTGTGTGTTTTACTAATCTGCAGGCATTCTTCGTATATTGTGGGTATGAGCTCTTTGTCAGTTTTACGTTTTGCAGATACTTTCTCCAACTTCGTGGCTTACTTTTTCATTCCTTTACATGGGTCTTTTGATGACCCAAAGTTCTTAATTTTGAAATCTAACTTATCAGTCTTTTCCTTTATGATTAGTGCTTTTCGTATCTGGTTAAGAAATCTTTGCCTCAATGAAAGCAAAAATAGAAAAATGAAATTGCATCAAACTAAAAAGCTTCTGTACTCGGCAAAGGAAACAATTAGCAGCATGGAGAGACAAGCTGCAGACTGGGAGAAAAGATTTGCAAATCACACATCAGATAAGGGGCCAATATCCAAAATATATAAGAACCGCAAACTACTAATAACAAGAAAACACGTAACTTAAAAAATGGCCAAAGGACCTGAATAGACATTTCTCAGAAGATATACAGATGGCTAACAGATAAATGGAAAAAAATGCTCAACACCTCTAATCATCAGAGAAATGCAAATTAAACCATAATGAAATATATCACCTCATACCTTTGGATTGGCTGTTATCAAAAAGGTGAAAGATAAGGCTGAGGCCGGTGGCTCACACCTGTAATCCCAGCACTTTGGGAGACTGAGGCAGGCAGATCACCTGAGGTTAGGAGTTTGAGACCAGCCTGACCAACATGGAGAAACCCCGTCTCTACTAAAGATACAAAATTAGCCAGGCGTGGTGGTTCATGCCTGTAATCCTAGCTACTTGGGAGGCTGAGGCAGGAGAATTGCTTGAACTCGGGAGGCAGAGGTTGCAGTGAGCCGAGATTGTGCCATTGCACTCCAGCCTTAGTAACAAGAGCGAAACTCCATCTCAAGAAAAAAAAAAAAAAGAAAAGAGTGGGTACAGTGGCTCATGCCTATAAGCCCATCACTTTGGGAGGCTGAGACGGGAGGATCGCTTGAGCTCAGGAGTTCCAGACCAGCCTGAGCAACCTAGTAAGACCTCATTTCTATAGAACACAAAGTAAAAATTAGCTAGGAATAGTGGCACATGCCTGTAGTCCCAGCTACTTGGGAATCTGAGGTGGGAGGATTGCTTGAGCCCGGGAGGTTGAGACTGCAGTGAGCTGTGATCGCACCACTGTCTCCCAGCCTGGGTGACAGAGTGAGATCTTGTCTAAAAAAAAAAAAAGATGGAAAATAAACGTTGGTGAGGATGTGGAGGAGAGAAGGGAACTTCACACGCTGTTAGTAGTATTGTAAATATATACAGTCACTTTGGAAAACAGTATGGAGGTTCCTAAAAAAAAAACTAAAAATAGACTTAGCATGCCATCTAGCAATCCCACTTCTGAGTGTATATCCAAAGGAATTGAAGTCAGTGTGTTGAAGAGATGTCTGTCTGTACTCCTGTGTTCGTTGCAGTTTTATTCACAACAGCCAAGATGTAGAAACAATCGATGTGCTGATCCACAGACAAATGGATTAAAAAATGCAATATATACATGCAGTGGAATACTATTCAGCCTGTCATTTGTGACAACATGGATAAACTTAGAGGACTTTCTGCTAAGTCAAATAAGCCAGGCACAGAGAGACAAATACCCTATGATTTCACTTATGTGGAATATACAAAAGTTGAACTTAGAAGTAAAGAGTAGAATGATAATTACCAGAGGCTGGAGGGTAGGGGAGTGGTAGATGGGAAAAGAGGATACACTGGTCAGAGGGCACAAAGTTTCATTTAGATAGGAGGAATAAGTTCTGGTGGTTCATTGTATAGCAAGGAGATTGCAGTTAATAATAATGTATATTTCAAAATAGCTAAGAGATAGCATTTTAAATGTTCTCACCATAAAGAAATGATAAATATTTGGGGTGATGGATATGTTAAAGAAAAAAAAGAAAAAGAAGCTGAGTGTGATGGTGTGCGCCTATAGTCCTAGCTACTTGGGAGGCTGAGGCAGGAGGATCACTTGAGCCCAGGAGTTCCAGGCCAGCCTGGGCAATATAGCAAGACCTCTTCTCAACTCCTGACCTCAGGTGATCTGCCCACCTTGGCGCCTCCCAAAGTGCTGGGATTACGGCGTGAGCCACCATGCCCAGCCAAGACCTCTTCTCTAAAAAAAAAAAAAAAAAAAAGAAAAGAAAAGAAAAAACATTTTTGCCTTAAGTCTCCTCTTTTTGTTTTATTTCTGATTATGTACACCCTTTTCCTTTCTGTCTTCTCTAGGCACCTGTTCTAGTGTGTTTAATGTATGTAGTTTTGTTTTTCTGTGTTCATTTAAAGTATATATTGTTATGTGCTTATGTATTTTTTTTTTTTTTTTGAGACGGAGTCTGGGTCTGTCGTCCAGGCAGGAGTGCAGTGGTGCAATCTTGGCTCACTGCAAGCTCTGCCTCCCGGGTTCACGCCATTCTCCTGACTCAGCCTCCTGAGTAGTTGGGACTACAGGCGCCCACCATCATACCCGGCTAATGTTTCTATTTTTAGTAGAGACAGGGTTTCACCGTGTTAGCCAGGATGGTCTCGATCTCCTGACCTTGTGATCCGCCTGCCTTGGCCTCCCAAAATGCTGGGATTACAGGCGTGAACCACCACACCCGGCCTTGCTTATGTATTTTTAATTTATGTAAATGGTATTGTATTGTAGATCTCATTGTCTTTATTTTTTTAATTTGGCATGTTTTTAAGATTCATCATATTATTATCCCCTAGTTAGATATACTGAGAATGCTCGTAACCCCCTGCCACCACACATAACCCTAGACAGACATCTTTTCATATGTCCCCTTACAGATCTTTGTGAATAGGCCCAGGCTCATCACTTCTGGGTTGTAGGGTAATGCAAGTGCAGGCATTTTAGGCCAAACCTCAGTAATTGGTTCCTGAACATCAGATGCTATACATGAAAATGTCAACCAGAAGCAATTTCTTGTTACTTTTAATGGGAAAAAATACGATTCATTACAAGTCAACTCAACCCCAAACCTATTTCCTACAGCATGACTGAAACTTAGTAAAGTAGTAGTCTAGTCTGGTAGGATGTAAAATGCTTAAAACATCATTTTCTGTTATCAGACATTGCTTATTAGCAAGTGTTTGCTTTGAACGCACCAACAAGAACCGTTTGCCTGCTCTCTCGTGACCTGCCATAGGAAGGCCAAGAGCAGCCCCACAGAGGATGGTGCTGGATGTCCTCTGCACCAGCAGCTGTGGAGATGCACATCCTCTTTGACAGTCTGTGCTTTTCAAAATGTTTATGCACTTATGACTACTACGATGTTCTAACAAGTGTATTTGGATTATAATTTGAGACTTTCCGCCCACCATTTTGTTAAAAATGTATTCATTTTGGGGCACATAAATACACATTTTTTTCTTATATAAACACCAGACAACTTCTGGTCAAGATTTTGCCTTTAAACCCTTAGGAAGATGCACCCCTAGGAAGAGACGGTCTCCCTTACAAGAGGTTTAGGTTTCCTAAACCTTCAGCCTGGGCTGTTGCTGCTATTTGCAATGAAGGGGCAGGCGATGATTGTCCAAGGCTGGGGCCTCACCTCCATCCCCATCCTAATGTCCCCCATCCTTGATCTGAAGGCCTTCATCTGCCCCAGGAGTTCTCACATTCTTTGTTGATGTTGTTAGTTCCTTTACTATATACTTACCTCTCGTTCCAGTAGTTTCTCCTCTGAAACCCCAAGTTCCGTTTTCTTTTGAACGTAAGCAAATGACTTCCTTGATTTTTCTGAGATGATTATTTGAAATTTAGAATTAGACATAATTAGTAGTAAAATTCCAAAAAGAAACTTTAAAGAAACCAATTTTTTTTTTTTAATAAAAAATAGTATAGGCCAGTTGCTAGTTGCTGAGATACTTGTATAGCCCTCTTAAAAGAAGACTCAGAGGTTTGTTTTTTGTTTTTTTGTTTTTTGTTTTGAGGGGACAGGGTCTTGTTCTGTCACCCAGGCTGGAGTGCAGTGGTGCAATAATAGCTCACTGCAGCCTCAAACTCCTTGGCTCAATTGATCCTCTCACTTCAGCCTCTCTGGTCTTAGACTACAGGTATGTACCACCGTGCCCAGCTAATTTTTTGTAGAGACAGCATCTCGCTATGGCTGGTCTTGAACTCCTGGGCTCAAGTGATGCTCCTGCCTCAGCCTCTCAAAGTGTTGAGATTACAAGCATGAGCCACCATGCCCAGCCAAGAGATGGTTTTAACAGTACAGCCTCAGGTTGAGGACAGCATTCAGAAGGTCCGATGGTTTAATACAAGAAGGAGGCTGGGGTTAACAATTTACTCTTTGTTGCAGATTTTTTTCAGATAGCTTTCAGTCTCAAAACTCACTTTCTACCCAAAGCTATGACAGAGATAGCATGTTTAGCTTCCCTACCTGGTCAAGGATGCCTTCTTTGTTCTAGAACCAAAGTAGGGGCTTTATGAATGGTTGTGCATCCACTTCCAGTAGTAATGGCTATACATTATGGAGCACTTAACTGTGTGGCGGGTACTGCACAGAGTGCTTCATATCTGTTACTCATTTAATCTTCACAATCACTATTTTCCAAGTGAAGCTTAGCAAAGTGAAGAAACTCACAGTTTTTCAGAAAGGGTCACAGTTCAAACCCCATATCTGTCTAACCTCCAGAATACGGGTTATGGGAACTGTGGGTGATTCTAGATAATTCGATTGTGTGGATTGTCATTCTCATTGTAATCTCCTTAAATCTCATTAAAGCTCATTAGCCAACCCAATAAAACCTAGGCTGGCCTTTGCAGTCAGGATGCTAGTAGTGATCAGGTATGCAGGCAAACAGCTGTAGAACCTCCAGACAAGGCTCTCTGTCTGAATATACAGTGTGTTACAGAAACATGATTGACAAATGTAAATATTCCTGAAATAGATTCATCTGAGAGAGAGGCATGCTGCTAATTTGTTAATCAATTGATTTGGTATCCATATCACCCATGCCTGCTGAATTCAGTTTTTCTTTAGAAGGGAGTTAAATAAATAGCACTGAGTTCTCAACCTTTGGCTCCCTGCTCCCTGGGGCAGCCTGTAGACCCCCCTTTTCATTCTGACAGATGAATAGGCAAGTGATCAGTTTTGTCTTTTGGGAGGGTGGAGGGAAGAGGTAGATTCTAGTCTGGCCTCCATGATTTTATACCTCAGATTGCCACATTGGATTTGAGGATCCTCAGATCTCAGTGACATGTTTGAAGAAGATCTCGGATTGGGTTATCTCTCCTATAGTTGACTATTCTCATTTTTCTATGGGTTAATTCTTACTAGTTTTACTTTCAAAGGTAATTTTAACATTTCGGGAAAACTTACATTTGTCCCCTGTATTTAATACGTTAATACGATATTTAAGAACTAGATCCTACTTTGTACAGTATTTCAAGGTATCATGAAATTAATGGTTTTTTGTTTGTTTGTTTGTTTGTTTGTTTGTTTTTTTGAGGCAGGGTCTTACTCTGTCGCCCAGGCTGGAGTGCAGTCGTGTGATCTTGGCACACTGCAACCTCTGCCTCCCGGGTTCAGGTGATTCTCCTGCCTCAGCCTCCTGAGTAGCTGGGACTACAGGTGCCCACCACCACGCCAAGCTAATTTTTGGTATTTTTAGTAGAGACAGGGTTTCACCATATTGGCCAGGCTGGTCTCGAACTCCTGACCTTGTGATCCACCCACCTTGGCCTCCCAAAGTGCTGGGATTACAGGCGTGAGGCACCACACCCAGCCAGTGTGTTCTGAAAGAAATAGTGCTTTGGAAAAATACAGTTTAAAAAAATGCCTTGTAATATGTATGTGCATTATAGAATTATAATTTCATAGCAAAAGCTTCTTGGAAAATATTTGCTGTAGATATTTAGAATTTATTGGGCATTTACTCATTGTCAGGCATTGTGGTAACTACTTGAAATAGCTTATTTAATCTGGATATCATTTTTTGCCCAACACTACGGGTTTGGGAAAAAAGGATGTGCATGATTTCACCCCAGTATATAACTAGAATTTGCAATCAGTCAGGGTAACATACACAAGGTTCACAGTAAATATTTACTGTTTAAATCGACTGATGGGAAAATCAGGAACAGGTAGGGGGAGGAAAGAGACTATGACAGTGGGGGACAGATAAAGAGTCTGGGAGAAGAACCAGGGAAAGCAGCTGAGAACTTTGCCTCAAGAGTAGACCTTGGTGCCATCTTGTGGGTGGATCTGGAAAGGACCAAGCAGATGCACATCAGTTGCTACTAAGATGCCTTGCAGAGCCCCAAATTTCCATGCCACAATGATAGAAAACTGCAAATCAGATAATCAGAACTCTGGTCTAGGAATCAGTGGATCTTAGTGATGGAATCAGTGTCCTGTCCATCAGCAAGTCCTGATCACTCTCTCCAAAACACATCCTAAATCTGTTTATCTCTGTGGCCGGCCCCAGGCCAAGCCACCATCTTCTCTTGTTTGGACTACTGCAGAAGCTTCCTTATTGGCCTTGCCTCTACTCTCATCCTCCCGTAGTTCATTCTCCATTGGCAGCCAAAGACATCTTTTTTAGAAAGAAGAATCAGATTATGTCACTTCTTTGTATAAAACCTTTAAGCGGCTTTTCATGAAATTTAGAATAAAATTCAAATGTCTTGTCCTGCCTTAGAAAACTCTGCATCGTATGACCCCTGCTTAGCTGTAACTTCATCTCATGACCTTCTTTGTATGGCCCCTGCTTAGCTGTAACCTCATCTCTTGACCTTCTTCCTCTTTGTTTCCTCCAGTGTCCCACCTTATTTCCACTGTAGGTCCTGTGCACTAGCTGTTCCTCTGCCTGGTACTCCTTCCTCCACCTCTTGCATGGTTGGCTACTTCCTGTCATTCAGATCTCACCTCCTGCATTGCTGCCTCAGAGGGGCCTTCCTTGACTCTGATTCAGTTACTCTCCATCACATCTTTCCCTGTTGTTAATCAGAGATATTGTCTGTCTTGCTGTCTATTGAATCCTCAATGCCTAGGAGACCATTTGGCACATAGTGGATGTTCAGTAAAGATCTGTCAGAAGGATAAATGCTGTTTTCCAGTTTCTTGATCTTTTTCCAGCTAGATACAGATTACGGCCAGGTTATTTTAGACTTTTCCTAATAGAGCATGAAAAGATCACAGGAATTAAATTCAGACAGAACTGGGTCCCATTCCTGCAACTACTGCTTACCAACTATTTGACCATACTTCTCTGAGTGTCAGCTTCTTCATCAATAAAATGGAGTTAATGAGCTTACCTTGCTCATAAGGTAAGAACTAAATTGGACTTAAATATGATTGGATCCAAAGTATTTACGTGTTAGATACTTTTTTCTATTAAAACTGACTGGACCATGTTGTTATTTGCATTTTCCTCTCCTGCTACCCAAGGGACAGGATTAGGTTCTTTGTACTCCTAGTATCTAGCACTGCACTTGTCTTACAGTAATAGGTGGTCCACAAGTGTCTGGATTTAGACTCTTCCACACCTAAGAACTGGTATCTCCTGACTCTTTCCAGGCTGTGTCCCTTTGATCACATTATTTCTCTTTGTCCAGAGAGAGAAACAGATGGTCACTGGTTGTACATGGAAAGCCTGAAGGGATAGTATGGTTCAGACCAAAATTGGATTTATGTCTTTACTGCAGTTCCTGGGTTTTGTATACAATTAATGTAAATTGACCCCAGGATAACTTTCTGTTTCTAATAAAAGGATGAAGGAAAAAAAGAGATCGATCATATGATTGTTTTGTAGTTCCTAGGACTTAGGCTCTTCGTAAGATTCTTCTTTCTGTTTCTTTTTTTTTTTTTTTTTTTTAAGACAGAGTCTCGCCCTGTCACCCAGGCTGGAGTACAGTGGCTCTGTCTCAGCTCAGTGCAATCTCTGCCTCCCAGGTTCAATCCCTCCTGAGTAGCTGGGATTACAGGCACCCACCACACCTGGCTAATTTTTGTATTTTTAGTAGAGACAGGGTTTTACTATGTTGGCTAGGCTGGTCTTGAGCTCCTGACCTCAGGTGATCTGCCCGCCTCGGCCTCCCAAAGTGCTGGGATTACAGGCGTGAGGCACCACGCCCAGCCATTCTTTCTGTTTCTTAATGGAATAAAGTACCTATGAAATTACTCTGAAAACTACAAGTCCTGTATTACATACATATATTTATGTAATAAGCTGGTATGAGTATAATTTCTAGATAAATGATTGGTTTAAAAAGATTAGCTGTTGACTGCACATTAATTCCAAAATATTTTTTGAATACCATGTACTAGACACTGTTTTGGGTGTTGGGAATATAGTAATGAATAAAGCAGGTAAATCCCTGTTGTTATAGAACTCTGTATTCCAGTGGGAGAAACAGACAAAAAAGAAGATAGATAATAAAATATGTAGTATACCAAATGGTGATTGGGAGCTAAGAAATAAAAACAAAGCAGGCAAGGGATAGGGAGGGTAGAGGGGAGTAGAAATTTTACAGAGGTTGGAATTATATATCTATTTTCTTTCTCACCCACCCCTAATCAAGATTTGTAACATAATAACTTTGCCTTCTAATACCACATCTAAATGATGTTAGATCAGTTAGGCAAACGAAATCAAAACTTCTAATAATTTGTTTCATATATCTGTAAACCATATTTACAAAAAGTTTTACTTTTCAATATTAAAATGCAAATCAACACCATCATATTGTCTGATATCCTAATATTATAACCTTTTTAAATAATCTTAATACATTCACAAATATTTAAAAGTATAAAAGATTAAGAACGTGTATAATTACTGATATCAGCTATTGAACATACTTTTGTTTCTATATTGCTTAAAAATGTCAGTTGCTTTTAAAGCTGAAAGATAAAATCAAAGCTATGCTATTTAAATTTATTTGAAATGATTATTCCCTTGTAAATATTAATGTGAAAAATAAATTATTATTAAGAGGGCTGTGACCTGAAACCTTAGGTCAGTTTGATTATGATTTCCATACATAAAGAAAGGATGGATACAAGAATTCCAGAAGTTCCAGTCCTCTTTTCTAGAGCAGTCAGGAAGTTGTTTACTCTTTGAGGGCCCACTGCTGACGTCTGCTCACTGAGTAATGTCATCAGATTTCCTGGTGGTGGTTATTTTGGGGGGAGCAGTGGCAAGTAGTTGTCCGGCTGTTAGGAGACTCTGCTCCATAGAGGTCCTGAGAGCCGGATATACCCCGTAGACAGGATGTAAGGTTAAATGCAATCTAGTTAAGTAAATAAAGTAAGCGTTCAGTGGTAAAAAGGAATTGCTGAAACATGAATGTTTTAAAATGATATTGCTAAAATTTTTACGTGGCAAAATTCATAGTCTTAAATCTTTTAAAAGTGAACCCATAGCTGCCTTTATTTCTTAAAATAAATCCAAAGGTGAGTTACTTTTATAAGTTCACATCATAAATTTATGCTGTCCTTTGTCTGTACAAATCAAGTTATTTCACCAGCTTTTGGTGTAGACCACATATTCAGGATTGTTTACCTAGGAGGGATGAGCCTTTTGCCCTGAGCTATCCAGACTTTTATCTTTTCCCTCAGCTTGTGACCAACACTATGTAAATATGTATATACATACTTTTTACTCATGCTGGTCATTAATATTTAAACAATTCATTATTGTCTTTATATTTATTTTCCTTACCGGTTTCCTTAAGTTTGTACTGTTGATTTTCTCAAACTTAATGATTTGAAAGCTTAGTGTACTTATTTTGTGACAAAAAGGTTTTAGACTATAGATTTTGCCTCTCATTATAATTTAGCAGTAGTATCCTGTAAGTCTTACTACATAATATTCACTTTTATTTTCCAAGTTAACTGTAGGCATAGTTTGCATATCTCTCTTTGATTCATTACTTTTGTGAGTTAATATTTTTAAGTTTTCTAAGGAGGCAGGATTTTTTGTTGTCGCTTAAACTTAAGTTTTTAATTCCTAGTTTGCTTCGTTGAAGGATAAAAACTGTACAGTTTTTACTTTAGGAATATATTTTAAGGGTTTTTTTCTGGTAACCTAGTATATCATGTTTTTCTAATATTTATAAATATTTTCTTTCTTTCCATTCAGACTTTATTTTTTATCTATTTGATCCTTCTTAGTAAATTTCATGAGTATTCTGTCAGAGACTGAGACACCAATTCATATAAAGGACCCAGGTGGCTCTCTGACCCTGCTTTATTGTGGCAGTAGCAGCATCCCTCCAGTTTATGCTTTTTCTGCTTTCTCTTACGAAACTGTGCCCCATACTGTAGGACATAAGCAAAATGATTTTCTTTCTCTTCTTCCTGTCATTTTCTTCCTTTCTTCTTCCTGAGCAGTTCCACTGCATTCTCCAAGCAATAGGTCAGTCTCATTCATTTGCTCATTGCTTTAAACTTGTTCATTAAGTGCTGGTGCCACAAACAAAAAACTCATCGTTCAAACTGGTCTCTCAGAGCCTCTTGCTTTCCTTCTTCCTGTACCGTGAGAGTATGATGATTATACAGACCATTTCAAGCACTTGAAAGTTGATTTTAAAAAATAACAAAACAAAGCCGGGCGCGGTGGCTCACGCCTATAATTCCAGTACTTTGGGAGGCCAAGGCAGACAGATCACTTGAGGTCAGGAGTTCGAGACCACCCTGGCCAATATGGCAAAACCCCGTCTCTACTAAAAATAACAAAAATTAGCCAGGCGTGGTGGCTCATGCCTGTAGTCCTGGCTACTCGGGAGGCTGAGGCAGGAGAATTGCTTGAATCTGGGAAGTGGAGGTTGCAGTGAGCTGAGATCGCGCCACTGCACTCTAGCCTGGGCGACAGAGTGAGACTCCATCTCAAAAAATAAAAAATAAAATAAAAAAGAAAATGATTATACAGACCAGATGTCTCCTTTTTTCCTGATTTTAAAAAATATGGTAAAATACACATAACGTAAAATATACCATCTTAACCAGTTTTAAGTGTACGGTTGAATGGTATTAAATACATTCATAATGTTGTGCAACTGTGATCACCATCTATCTCCAGAACTCTTTTCATTTTGTAAAACTAAAACAATATATCAATTAAACAAGAGCTTCCCCATTCTTCCCTTCCCCTTGTCCCTAGCAAACACATTCTGCTTTCTCTCTATATATTTTGACTACTCCAAGTACCTCATGTAAGTGGAATCATATAGAATTTGTCTTTTTGTGACTGGCTTATTTCACTTAGCATAATGTTCTTACAGTTCATCTGTTCCATAGCATATATGTCAGAATTTCCTTTTTATGGCTGAATAATATTCCATTTTATGCATATACCACATTTTAAAATACATTTATTCTTTATTTTTTAAAGGAAGAAATAGGATCTCACTGTGTTGAGCTCACTCCCAGGCCCGAGTGATTCTCCTGCCTTAGCCTCCCAAGTACCTGGGACTGCAGGCACACGCCACCACTCCTGGCTTTGTTTATTTGTTCATCTGTCATTAGACACTTGGGCTGTTTTCATGTTTTAGAAATTATGAATAATGCTGTTATGAACATGTGCATACAGATATCTGTCTGAATCACTGCTTTTTATTCTTTTGAATATATACCCAAAAGGGGATTGTTGGATCATATGTTAATTCTATTTTTTTAATTTTTTGAGGAATTGCCATTCTGTTTTCTGCAGCAGCTATACCATTTAATATTTCCATCAACAGGGCACAGAGGTTCCAGTTTTTCCATGTTCTCATCAGCACTTGTTATTTTCTGGTAGTAGTGTGAGGTGGTGTCTCATTGTGGTTTTGATTTTCATTTCCCTACTGGTTATTGATATTGAGCATCTTTTCATGTGCTTATTGGCCCTTTCTTTTATTAATATATCTTCTTTGGAGAAGAATGTGTATGTTCAAGTCCTTTGCCCATTTTTGAATTGGGTTGTTGTTGGATTATAGGGGTTCTCTATATATTGTAGATATTACTCTCTTATCAGATATATGATTGGCAATTACTTTTTCCAGTTCTGTGGATTGCATTTTTACTCTGTTGATGTTGTCTTTTTATGCACAAAATTTTAAAATTTTGATGAAGTTTAATTTGTCTCTTTTTTCTTTTGCTGCCTGTGCCATTGATATCATACCCAAAAAAATCATTGCCAAGTCTAGTGTTGTGAAGATTTTGCCCTATATTCTCTTTTAGGAATTCTGTGTATTAGGTCTTACATTTAGGTCTTCAATCCATTTTGAATAAATTTTTTTATATGGTGTTAGATAAGGGTCCAACTTCATTCTTTGGATGTGGTTATCCAGTTTTCCCAGCACCATTTGTTGAAAACACTCTCCTTTCACCATTGAATGTTCTTGGCTCCCTTGTTAAAAATTATTTGACCCTATACACAAGGGTTTATTTCTGGGCCCTTTATTCTAGTTCGTTGGTCTGTATGTCTGTCTTTATGCTAGTACCACATTATTTTGATCACTGTAGCTTTGTAGTAAGTCACAAAATCAGGAAGTGTGAGTTCTTCAGTTATGTTCTTTTCAGGATTGTTTTGGCTATTCGAGATCCCTTGAGATTCCATATGAATTTTAGAATGGGTTTTTCTGTTTCTTCAAAAAACATATTTGGGATTTTGGTAAGGATTGCATTGAATCTATAGATTGCTCTGAGTAGTATTGACATCTTAACAATATTAAGTATTGTAATTTGTGAATGTGGGATATGTTTCCATTTATTAAATCTTTTTAATTTTTCAGCAATATTTTGTAGTTTCACTTGTACAAATCTTTCACCTCCTTGGTTAAATCAATTCTTAAGTGCCTTATTCTTTTTGATGCTATTGTAATTGGAATTGTTTTTTGTAATTTCCTTTTCAGATTGGTCATTGTTAGTGTATAGAAATGCAGCTTGTTTGGTGTGTTGCCTTTGTGTCCTGATACTTTGCTGACTTTATTAGTTCTAACAGGCTTTTGTGTATGTGTGTGTGGAATCTTTAGGGTTTTCTTACCTATAAGATCATACAAATGAATAAAGATAATTTTACTTCTTATTTTCTATTTCGACTGTCTTTTCTTTTTCTTACCTAATTGCTCCGGCTAGGACTTTCTATGTTGAATAGAAGAAGTAGGCATCCTTGCTTTGTTCCTGATCTTAGAGGAAAAGTCCTTTACCATTCATTATGATGTTTGCTGTGGGTTTTGTTCATACATGGCTTTTTAAAAAATTTGTTTAAAAAAATTTTTTTTCTTCAATTTTTAAGTCCCGGGGTACTTAGGGATGTGCAGGTTTGTTACATAGGTAAATGTGTGCCATGGTGTTTTGCTGCACAGATCAACCCATCACCCAGGTATTAAGCCCAGCACCTATTAGCTATTCTTCCTGATGCTGTCCCTCCCTCCGCCTGCCACAGGCCTCAGTGTGTGTTGTTCCCCCCACATGTCCATGTGTTCTCATCATTCAGCTCCTGCTTAGAGAACACACAGTGTTTGGTTTTCTGTGCCTGTTAGTTTGCTGAGGATAATGCTTCCAGCTCCATCCGTGTTTGTGCAAAGGACGTGATCGTTTTCCTTTTTATGGCTGCACATACATGGCTTTTTAAAATTATTATTATACTTTAAGTTCTAGGGTACATGTGCACAATGTGCAGGTTTGTTACATATGTATACATGTGCCGTGCTGGTGTGCTGCACCCGTTAACTCATCATTTACATTAGATATATCTCCTAATGCTATCCCCTCCCCCCTCCCCACACCCCACAGCAGGCCCCGGTGTGTGATGTTCCTCACCCTGTGTCCAAGTGTTCTCATTGTTCAATTCCCACCTATGAGTGAGAACATGCAGTGTTTGGTTTTCTGTCCTTGCAATAGTTTGCTCAGAATGATGGTTTCCAGCTTCATCCATGTCCCTACAAAGGACATGAACTCATCCTTTTTTATGGCTGCATGGCATTCCATGGTGTATATGTACCACATTTGCTTAATCCAGTCTATCATTGATGGGCATTTGCGTTGGTTCCAAGTCTTTGCTATTGTGAATAGCGCCGCAATAAACATATGTGTGCATGTGTCTTTATAGCAGCATGATTTATAATCCTTTGGGTATATACCCAGTAATGGGAGGGCTGGGTCAAATGGTATTTCTAGTTCTAGATCCTTGAGGAATTGGCACACTGTCTTCCACAGTGGTTGAACTAGTTTACAGTCCCACCAACAGTGTAAAAGTGTTCCTATTTCTCCACATCCTCTCCAGCGCCTGTTGTTTCCTGACTTTTTAATGATCGCCATTGTAACTGGTGTGAGATGGTATCTCATTGTGGTTTTGATTTGCATTTCTCTGACGGCCAGTGATGATGAGCATTTTTTCATGTGTCTGTTGGCTGCATAAATGTCTTCTTTTGAGAAGTGTCTGTTCATATCCTTTGCCCACTTGTTGATAGGGTTGTTTGATTTTTTCTTGTAAATTTGTTTAAGTTCTTTGTAGATTCTGGATATTAGCCCTTTGTCAGATGGGTAGATTGTAAAAATTTTCTCCCATTTTGTAGGTTGCCTGTTCACTCTGATGGTAGTTTCTTTTGCTGTGCAGAAGCTCTTTAGTTTAATTAGATCCCATTTGTCAATTTTGGCTTTTGTTGCCATTGCTTTTGGTATTTTAGTCATGAAGTCCTTGCCCATGCCTATGTCCCGAATGATATTGCCTAGGTTTTCTTCCTGGGGTTTTTATGGTTTTAGGTCTAACATTTAAGTCTTTAATCCATCTTGAATTTTTGCGTAAGGTGTAAGGAAGTGATCCAGTTTCAGCTTTCTACATATGGCTAGCCAGTTTTCCCAGCACTATTTATTAAATAGGGAATCCTTTCCCCATTTCTTGTTTTTGTCAGGTTTGTCAAAGATCAGATGGTTGTAGATGTATGGTATTATTTCTGAGGGCTCTGTTCTGTTCCATTGGTCTATATCTCTGTTTTGGTACCAGTACCATGCTGTTTTGGTTACTGTAGCCTTGCAGTATAGTTTGAAGTCAGGTAGCGTGATGCCTCCAACTTTGTTCTTTTGGCTTAGGATTGTCTTGGCAATGCAGGCTCTTTTATGGTTCCATATGAACTTTAAAGTAGTCTTTTCCAATTCTGTGAAGAAAGTCATTGGTAGCTTGATGGAGATGGCATTTAATCTATAAGTTGCCTTGGGCAGTGTGGCCATTTTCACGATATTGATTCTTCCTATCTGTGAGCATGGAATGTTCTTCCATTTGTTTGTGTCCTCTTTTATTTTGTTGAGCAGTGGTTTGTAGTTCTCCTTGAAGAGGTCCTTCACATCCCTTGTAAGTTGGATTCCTAGGTATTCTATTCTCTTGGAAGCAATTGTGAATGGGAGTTCACTCATGATTTGGCTGTCTGTCTGTTATTGGTGTATAGGAATGCTTGTGATTTTTGCACATTGATTTTGTATCCTGAGACTTTGCTGAAGTTGCTTATCAGCTTAAGGAGATTTTGGGCTGAGACAATGGGGTTTTCTAAATATACAATCATGTCATCTGCAAACAGGGACAATTTGACTTCCTCTTTTCCTAATTGAATACCCTCTATTTCTTTCTCTTGCCTGATTGCCCTGGCCAGAACTTCCAACACTATGTTGAATAGGAGTGGTGAGAGAGGGCATCCCTGTCTTGTGCCAGTTTTCAAAGGGAATGCTTCCAGTTTTTGCCCATTCAGTATGATATTGGCTGTGGGTTTGTCATAAATAGCCCTTATTATTTTGAGATATGTCCCATCAATACCTAGTTTATCGAGAGTTTTTAGCATGAAGGGCTGTTGAATTTTGTCAAAGGCCTTTTCTGCATCTATTGAGATAATCATGTGGTTTTTGTCTTTGGTTCTGTTTATATGCTGGATTACGTTTATTGGTTTTTGTATGTTGAACCAGTCTTGCATCCCAGAGATGAAGCCAACTTGATCATGGTAGATAAGCTTTTTGATGTGCTGCTGGATTCAGTTTGCCAGTATTTTATTCAGGATTTTTGCATCGATGTTCATCAGGGATATTGGTCTAAAATTCTCTTTTTTTTGTTGTGTCTCTGCCAGGCTTTGGTATCAGGATGATGCTGGCCTCATAAAATGAGTTATGGAGGATTCCCTCTTTTTCTATTGATCGGAATAGTTTCAGAAGGAATGGTACCAGCTCCTCTTTGTACGTCTGGTAGAATTCAGCTGTGAATCCATCAGGTACGGGACTTTTTTTGGTTGGTAGGCTATTATTGCCTCAACTTCAGAGCCTGTTATTGGTCTATTCAGGGATTCAGCTTCTTCCTGGTTTAACCTTTGGAGGGTGTATGTGTCCAGGAATTCATCCATTTCTTCTAGATTTTCTAGTTTATTTGTGTAGAGGTGTTTATAGTATTCTCTGACGGTAGTTTGTATTTCTGTGGGATCGGTGGTTATATTCCCTTCATCATTTTCTATTGTGTCTATTTGATTCTTCTCTCTTCTTTGTTAGTCTTGCTAGCGGTCTGTCGATTTTGTTGATCTTTTCAAACAACCAGCTCCTGGATTCATTGATTTTTTGAAGAGTTTTTTGTGTCGCTATCTCCTTCAGTTCTGCTCTGATCTTAGTTATTTCTTGCCTTCTGCTAGCTTTTGAATGTGTTTGCTCTTGCTTCTCTAATTCTTCTATTTGTGATGTTAGGGTGTCAGTTTTAGATCTTTTCCTGCTTTCTCTTGTGGGCATTTACTGCTATAAATTTCCCTCTACACACTGCTTTAAATGTGTCCCAGAGATTCTGGTATGTTGTGTCTTTGTTCTCGTTGGTTTCAAAGAACCTCTTTATTTCTGCCTTCATTTCGTTATGTATCCAGTAGTCATTCGGGAGCAGGTTGTTTAGTTTCCATGTAGTTGGGTGGTTTTGAGTGAGTTTCTTAATCCTGAGTTCTAGTTTGACTGCACTGTGGTCTGAGAGACAGTTTGTTATAATTTCTGTTCTTTTACATTTGCTGAGGAGTGCTTTACTTCCAACTGTGGTCAATTTTGGAATAAGTGTGATGTGGTGGTGAGAAGAATGTATATTTTGTTGATTTGGGGTGGAGAGTTCTGTAGATGTCTATTAGGTCTGCTTGGTGCAGAGCTGAGTTCAATTCCTGGATATCCTTGTTAACTTTCTGTCTTGTTGATCTGTCTAATGTTGACAGTGGGATGTTAAAGTCTCCCATTATTATTGTGTGGGAGTCTAAGTCTCTTTGTAGGTCTCTAAGGACTTGCCTTATGAATCTGGGTGCTCCTGTATTGGGTGCATATATATTTAGGATAGTTAGCTCTTCTTGTTGAATTGATCCCTTTACCATTATGTAATGGCTTTCTTGGTCTCTTTTGATCTTTGTTGGTTTAAAGTCTGTTTTATCAGAGACTAGGATTGCAACCCCTACTATTTTTTGTTTTCCATTTGCTTGGTAGATCTTCCTCCATCCCTTTATTTTGAGCCTGTGTGTGTCTCTGCATGTGAGTTGGGTCTCCTGAATACAGCACACTGATGGGTCTTGACTCTATCCAATTTGCCAGTCTGTGTCTTTTAATTGGAGCATTTAGCCCATTTACATTTAAGGTTAATATTGTTATGTGTGAATTTGATCCTGTCATTATGATGTTAGCTGGTTATTTTGCTCGTTAGTTGATGCAGTTTCTTCCTAGCCTTGATGGTCTTTACAATTTGGCATGTTTTTGCAGTGGCTGGTACTGGTTGTTCCTTTCCATGTTTAGTGCTTTTTTCAGGAGCTCTTGTAAGGCAGGCCTGGTGGTGACAAAATCTCTCAGCATTTGCTTGTCTGTAAAGGATTTTATTTCTCCTTCACTTATGAAGCTTAGTTTGGCTGGATATGAAATTCTGGGTTGAAAATTCTTTTCTTTAAGAATGTTGAATATTGGCCCCCACCCTCTTCTGGCTTGTAGAGTTTCTGCTGAGATATCAGCTGTTAGTCTGATGGGCTTCCCTTTGTGGGTAACCCGACCTTTCTCTCTGGCTGCCCTTAACATTTTTTCCTTCATTTCAACTTTGGTGAATCTGACAATTACGTGTCTTGGAGTTGCTCTTCTCGAGGAGTATCTTTGTGGCGTTCTCTGTATTTCCTGAATTTGAATGTTGGCCTGCCTTGGTAGGTTGGAGAAGTTTTCCTGGATAATATCCTGCAGAGTGTTTTCCAACTTGGTTCCATTCTCCCCATCAATTTCAGGTACACCAATCAGACGTAGATTTGATCTTTTTACATAGTCCCACATTTCTTGGAGGCTTTGTTCGTTTCTTTTTACTCATTTTTCTCTAAACTTCTCTTCTCACTTCATTTCATTCATTTGATCTTCAGTCACTGATACCCCTTCTTCCACTTGATCAAATTGGCTACTGAAGCTTGTGCATGTGTCACATAGTTCTCATGTCATGGTTTTCAGCTCCATCAGGTCATTTAAGGTATTCTCTATGCTGTTTATTCTAGTTAGCCATTCGTCTAATATTTTTTCAAGGTTTTTAGCTTCTTTGCAGTGGGTTCAGACATCCTCCTTTAGCTCGGAGAAGTTCGTTATTACCGATTGTCTGAAGCCTTCTTCTCTCAACTCGTCAAAGTCATTCTCCGTCCAGCTTTGTTCCATTGCTGGCGAGGAGCTGCGTTCCTTTGGAGGAGAAGAGGCACTCCGATTTTTAGAATGTTCAGCTTTTCTGCTCTGGTTTCTCCCCATCTTTGTGGTTTTATCTACCTTTGGTCTTTGATGCTGGTGACCTACAGATGGGGTTTTGGTGTGGATGTCCTTTCTGTTTGTTAGTTTTCCTTCTAACAGTCAGGACCCTCAACTGCAGGCCTGTTGGAGTTTGCTGGAGGTCCACTCCAGACCCTGTTTGCCTGGGTATCACCAGCGGAGAACCACAAATACTGCAGAACGGCAAATGTTGCTGCCTGATCATCCCCTGGAAGCTTCGTCTCAGAGGTGCACCCAGCCGTATGAGGTGTCAGTTGGCCCCTACTGGAAGATGTCTTCCAGTTAGGCTACTTGGGGGTCAGGGATCCGCTTGAGGAGGCAGACTGTCTGTTCTCAGATCTCGAACTCCGTGCTGGGAGGACCACTACTCTCTTCAAAGCTGTCAGACAGGGACGTTTAAGTCTGCAGAAGTTTCTGCTGCCTTTTGTTCAGCTATGCCCTGCCCCCAGAGGTGGAGTCTATAGAGGCAGGCAGGCCTCCTTGAGCTGTGGTGGGCTCCACCCAGGAATTCCCTGACCCCTTGTGCTTCCCGGGTGAGGCGATGCCCCTCCCTGCTCTGGCTCATGCTCCATGGGCTGCACTTACTGTCCGACAAGCCCCAGTGAGATGAAGCCGGTACCTCAGTTGGAAATGCAGAAATCACCCGTCTTCCATGTCGCGCACGCTGGGAGCTGTAGACTGGAGCTGTTCCTATTCGGCCATCTTGGAACCTCCTGTGCTCGTACATGGCTTTTTAAATGTTGAGGTAGTTCCCTTCTATTTCTATTTTGTTGAGTGTTTTTATCATGAAAGGATATTGAATTTTGTTAAATGCCTTTTCTGCATTATTTGAGGTATAATGAATGAGGCTTTTGTCCTTTATTCTGTACAATAATGTATTACACTGATCAATTTTCATATGTCAATACATCCTTGCATTTCAGGAATACATCCCACTTAGTCATGGTGTATAATCCTTTTATTATGCTGCTGAATTCAGTTTTCTAGTATTTTGTTGAGGATTTTTGCATCAGTGTTTATAAGGGATATTGGCCTGTAATTTTCTTTTAGTGTCTTTTGTTGTTGTCGTTGTTTTGTTTTTGAGATAGAGTCTCACTTTGTTACCTAGGCTGGAATGCAGTGGCATGATTGTTTTGTTTTAAGGGATAGGGTCTTGCTCTGTTGCCCAAGTTGGAATGTAGTGGCACAGTCTTGTCTCACTGCAGCCTCGACTTCCTGGGCTCAAATGATCCTCTTCCCTTAGCCTCCTGAGTAGCTACGATTATAGGTGCATACCACCATGACCAGCTTTTTCTTCTTCTTCTCTTTTTTATAGAGTTAGGGTCTCGTTATTTTGCCTAGGCTTGTCTTGACTCCTGGCCTCAAACAGTCCTCCCACCTTAGCCTCTCAAAAGCGCTGGGATTACAGGTGTGAGCTACCACATCTGGCCCTAACTTTGGTATCAAGGTAATACTGGCGTCATAGAATGAGTTAGGAAGTGTTTCTTTCTCTTCAATTTTTTGTAAAAGTTTGAGAAGGATTGTATTAGTTCTTTAAATGCTTGGTAGAATTCACCTGTGAAGCTATTGGGTCCAGGGGTTTTCTTTGTTGGGGGATTTTTGATTACTGATTCAGTCTCCTTACTAGTAATAGATCTATTCAGGTTTTCTGTTTCTTTATGATTTGGTCTTCGTACTTTTTGCGCTTCTAGGAATTTGTCCATTTTATCCAGATTATCCAATTTGTTGGTGTATAAGTGTTAATAGTACTCTCTTAGAATCCTTTTTATTGCTGTAGAATTGGTAGCAATGTCCCTACTTTCATTTCTAATTTTGGTAATTTGAGTCATTTTTATTTTTTTCTCCATCTTGCTAAAGGTTTGTCAATTTTGTTGATCATTTCAAAGAACCAGCTTTTGGTTTCCTTGATTTTTCTGTATTATCTATTCTCTATTGTATTAATCTTTGCTCTAATCGTTATTTCCATCTGCTAGCTTTGGGTTTAGTTTTCTCTTTTTCTAGTTCCCTAAATTATAAAGTTATGTTGTTGATTTGAGATCTTATTTTCTAGTGTATTTATAGCTATTAATGTTCCCCTTAGCCTGTTTTTGCTGCTACATCCCATAAGTTTTAGTATGTTGCGTTTTTGTTTTCATTCATCTCCAAGTATTTTCTAATTTATCTTGTGTATTCTTCTTTGATCTGTTAGTTAAGATTGTGTTGTTTAATTTCCACAATTTTGTGAATTTTCCAGTTTTACTTTTGTTATTGATTTCTCACTTTATCCTTAAGATACTTTGTGTTACATCTATCTTTTAAAATCTATTGAGTTTTGATTTGTGGCCTAATATGTAGTCTGTCCTTGAGAATGTCCCATGTGCACTTGAGGAAAATATATATGTTGTTATTGGGTAGCACATTCTGTATATGTCTATTAGATCTTGTTGGTTTATTGTGTTGCTTAAGTCTAGCCATTATTGAGAGGGGGGTGTTGAAGTCTTCAACTATAATTTTAGAACTGTCTCTTCCTTCAATTCTGTCAGTTTTTACTTTATATATTTTAATGGTCTGTCATTGGGTAGATAATTGCTTATAATTGTTACATCTTGTTACTCTGTTGAATGTTTAACATATAGTGTCCTCCTTTGTCTCTTATAGCCTTTTTTGGTTTAAAGTCTATTTTGTCTGCTGTTAGTATAACTTCCCCTGCTCTTTTTTGATTACTATTAGAGTATCTTTTTCCATCCTTTCACTTTCTATTTTTGTCTTTGGATCTAAAGTGAATGTCTTATAGACCACATATAGATGGGTTCATTCTGCCAATCTCTGTCTTTTGATTGGAGAGTTTAATCCATTTATATTTAAAGTAATTACTGAGCTTGCACAACAAAGCAAGGCTGTGTCTCTACAAAACATTTAAAAATTAACCAGATGAGGTGGCATATACCTGTAGTCTCAGCTACTCGGGAGACTGAAGTGGGACGATCTCTTGAGCCCAGGAGTTCAAGGCTACAGTGAGCTATGATCATGCCATTGCACTCCAGCCTGGGTGATAGAGCAGGACCCTGTCCCTAAAAATAAATAAATAATTACTGATAAAGGTGGACTTAACTTCTGTCATTTTGCTATTTGTTTTTCTGTATGTCACATAGCTTTTCTGTCTTCCATTTCTTTAATTACTGTCTTCTTTTGTGTTCAGTTGATTTTTTGTAATGCAATATTTAAATTCCTTTCTCATTTCCCTTTGTGTATATTCTGTAGCTACTTTCTTTATGGTTAGCATGGGGATTATAGTTAACATCCTAATGTTATATAAATATTTAATTTGAATTATGCCAGCTTAACTTCAATAACATACAAAAATTCTACTCCTATACTGCTTTATTCCCACCCTTTTCAGTTATTGATGTCACAAAATTAAAGCTTTATGTAGTTGGTCCTCCATATTGGTGGGTTCCACGTCCATGGATTCAGCCAACTGAAGATTGAAAATATTTAGGAAAATAAAAATAAAACATGTAAAATAATACAGCATTAAGAACTGTTTACATAGCATTACATTGTATTAGGTATTATAAGTAAGTAGAGACAATTTAAAGCGTAGAGGAGAATGGGAATATGTTATATAAGGTACTTGAGCATCCATAGATTTTCATATATATGGGTGTTCCTGGAACCAATTCCCTGCAGATAACAAGGGACAACTGTACATTGTGTGCCCAAAAGCGTACACTAATACTTTCAAATGTCTCTTATTTAGGAAATAAAATGCAAAATGTAGTTACCCACAAAAGTTACAATAATACTTCCTTTTAGACCAATGATTTTTTTTTTCCACCAAACTGTATTCATCTCTTAAATCATGTAGGAAACAAACAAAAGGAGTTATAAGCCATTTATACAATAGCAATAGCTTTTATAATTATCCATGGTTTCACTTTTATTGAGATCTTTATTTCTTCAGACAGCTTTGAGTTACTGTCTAGTGTCCTTTTATTTTACCCTGCAGGACTCCCTTGAACATTTCTTGCAGGGCATATCTAGTGGTAATGAACTCCCTTAGTTTTTTTGGTTTGTTTTATTTTGTTTTTGTTTTTGTTTTTGTTTTTCATTCTGGAGATGTCTTAATTCCTCCCTCACTTTTGAATGAAGTTTTGCCAAATATAGGATCTTTGATTGACGATTAGCTGACCTCCAAAGTTTCTGATGAGAGATCTATTGATAATCTTATTGAGGATTTCTTGTGTGTGACCAGTTGCTTCTTTCTTGCTGCTTTCTTTTTTATTTTTCTTCTTTTTTATTTATTTATTTTTTTTGAGATGGCATCTTGCTCTGTTGTCCAGGCTGGAGTGCAATGGTGCAGTCTCGGCTCACTGCAACTTCTGCCTCCCAGGTTCAAGCAATTCTCCTGCCTCAGCCTCCTGAGTAGCTGGGATTACAGGCACCCGCCACCACACCCAGCTAATTTTTTTTTTTGTATTTTTAGTAGAGACGGGGTTTCACCATGTTGGCCAGGCTGGTTTCGAATTCCTGGCCTCAGGTGATCTGTCTGTCTCAGCCTCCCAAAGTGCTGGGATTACAGGCGTGAGCCACCACGCCCAGTTCTTGCTGCTTTCAAGATTCTCTTTTTGTCTTTGAGCAGTTTCATTATAATGTGTCTTGATATGGGTCTCTTTGAGTTCATCTTACTTATTGTTTGTTGAGCTTCTTTATGTCCTACATCAAGTTTGGGATATTTTCTTCATACATTTTTTCTTTCCCTTTCTCTTCAGCATCTGGGACTCCCGTGATGCATATATTAGCTTGTTTCATGGTGTCCTTCAGGCACTGTAAGCTCTGTTCACTATTTTTTTAAAGGTTTTTTCTCTTTCCCAGACTCGATAATTTCAATTGTCCCCTCTCTAAGTGTGCTCATTCTTTCTTTTGCCTGCCCAAATTTGCCTTTGAATCTCTTTAGTGAATTTTTCATTCCAGTTATTGTACTTTTCAGCTCCAGAAATTATTTTTGGTTTCTTTTTAGTTTTTTTCATCTCTTTACTTAGATTTTCATGTTGTTCGTACATCATTTTCTTGACTTTCTCCACATCTTTCTTTAGTTCTTTTAGCATCTTGAAGTTGTTGTAAAGTCTTTGTCTAGTAGATCTGCCATTAGGTATCTTTCAGGGATGGTTGCTGTTGATTTAGTTTTTTTCATTTGAATTGGCTGTACTTTCCTGTTTGTGTGCTTTGTGAATTTGTGTTGAAAACTGGACATTTGAATGTAATAATGTGGTAACTCTGGAAATCATTCTCCGTCTTCCCCAGGATTTGCTGTTATTGTTTTGTTTTGTTTTGTTTTTAATTGTGGTAGGCCATCTCTGTGCCAAGGATCAGTCTAATGTGTAAACTCAAGGTCTTCTCAGGCATTTTCTAAGCCTTTCCCTAGGCTTGCATAATCACTTTCTAGTTTTCCCTGTATATGCCATTGCTTTTCAATGCCTTAGTCCCTAATGTCTGACTCTCAAAGGGGATAAAAGAGAAAAATGAAAGGAGAGGAAGGGCACTAGCCCTTTAAATCTCCTAGAAGTCTCTTCAACTGGAGGGGGAATGGCTTGCAACAATGGGAGAAAGTGCAACAATGCACCCCTTCTTTGTCTGCACCTCTGTATCAGTGATCAGAGCACAGATCCCTGATATTTGGAGGACATGGTTGTTTTTGCCTTCCCTGGGTCCTGCAAGTTGTGTTCAGGTTGCTTTAGGAACACATGCACAGCTGCCCACCATGGGCCTGGGTACCTGCTATGTGCTAAGAGCTAAAATTAACTGCGGTTTACCATCCAAGCCTTCCCCTGGAAGTTGCACGTCTTCAATTGTTCCTAAAATAGTTGCATCAGACATATTCTGCCAGTGCAATATTGTCTAGGTGGGGAAACAGATTCCTGGTGCTTCTTACTCTACTGTCTTCTCTAAATCCATCTTTTAAGACTCTCCTGTGGACCTCTTGGACCATCTTCCCTCATAAAAATTCTGGCTTTGGCATCCAGTTACACCAGTATGAGACTGGCCCATAGTTACACAACTCAAGAGAATAGGTAATAACCATGCACTGTCTGTTCTGACTCTTTCACCCTACTGAAGAATCTTCCTCCTCAGTCTTTGGTCTAGAATATTAGGGACCCTCATTCTTTTTATGCCTTCTGAGAGATAAAATTATTGCAGAGCAATGCAGAAACTGAGCCAGTGGCCCATAATTACTAGACATCAGCTTCTCATGGTTAAAAATATATGTGGATTTTTCTCCCATCACTAAGCAAACTTCGTAATGTGTTTACTAGAATAGGTCACTGTTTGAGGGGAGAGATTGGAGGAGGGCAGTCAGTTGGGAAACATTTTGTAGGAAGTCTTATGGATCTAGTTCTTCTGTTGCTGTGACGAATCATACCATCACACAGAGGCCCAGATTGGGATCTCATCAACACCTACAGAGTCACTGGGCAAATTACAAAATGTGTCTCTTCCCCTGGGTAGCAGCCCAGTGCCAGAATTCATCACCTGGAGCTGGTTTTCAGTCCCACCTTCTCCCTTCCTTGGGCCCCTTTGTGTTGTATACAGGCTATTCAAATCTTCTGGTGGTCCTGAGTTTACAGCACAGTGTATGGAGCTAAACAAACCTGGGTGGAATCCCAGCACTACCACTTGCTGTGTGGTCTTAATGCAGGGTACTTAGAACTTCAGTTTTCTAGCTATAAACTCTCACCACATTACTATCAGATTCAGTGAAATAACATGTGCAGCCCTTAGCACAGTAACCAGAACACACTAAGTCTTCCATTGGTGCTGTGATTGTTATTACTCACTGGGGTTTGGTTATGATATTACATTTATCTTTGATTTAGCATTACATTCTCAAATGGATAAGTACTTACAGTAAGTGCTATTATGCTCCTCTGTAAAATAGAAAGTGTCAACCATTTTTCAATGACATTCCATGGTTCTGACTGCTGGATTGCATTATTCATGTGCCATTTGGGTGTAAGATTTCATTGTCCATCAGGAAAAAAATGGAAATAGGCACAGAGGGAATCAGCGTTTATTTAGTATCTATTATTGGGGGGCTCTCTATATTGTCATCTCATTTGGCCTTTAACAAATGAGAAGTTGAGGCTGAGGAAGATTAATTCACTTAAAGTCACATGTAGCTAGTAAAAGGCAAAGCCAGAATCACATTCATTTTATTTGTTCATTTTATTTCTCCTTTCCTGCTCCCCACTTTTCCTGGGGGCTATAAGGAGATCCTTAGGATTCCTCATAATCATTTCATTTATCTACTATTTACTTTATTTGCCTCTAGAATAGAAATTTTGCTTTCATTTTTGGCACTGTTTAGAGAGAGAAAAAGTTAAGCTTCTCTTTCTCCGTTGTCTTTTCATTTTTAAGCCAATCTCTTTCTTACAGGTAGCAGTAGCTGATGTGCAGTTTGGCCCCATGAGATTTCATCAAGATCAACTTCAGGTAATAATGAACGATGCTGTATTTTTCACATGCTGATTTTCTTTAAAAAGGGTGGAGGTGGAGCTAAATTTACACATTTAAAATAGTCTTTCATTTAGATAATAGTGTTTGGACCAATGTTAAATTCCCTGAACTCTGTAACAGTATTATAGTTATATAAGAGAATATCCTGTTCTTAGAAATACACATTGTGGTGTTTAGAGATGAAGAAGTGTTTGTAGCCTACTTTCATTGGTTCAGCAATAGGTCAGGCACGGTGGCTCATGCCTATAATCCCAGCACTTTGGGAGGCTGAGGCAGTAGGATCTCTTGAGCTTGAGGAGTCCTTGAGGAGTTTGAAACCAGCCTGGGCAACATAGGGAGACCCAGTTTCTGCAACAACAGCAACAATAAATTAGATGGACATGGGGGTGTGTGTGCCTGTGGTCCCAGCTACTTGGAAGGCTGAGATGGGAGAATCACCTGAGCCCGGGAGGTCAAGGCTGCAGTGAGTCATGATCACACCATTGCACTGCAGCCTGGGCAACAGAGTGAGACCCTGTCTCAAACAAACAAAAGAAAAAAAATTGGTTCAGCAATAAATAAAAAATGTGTATAATTGTATGTATGTACATGTATGTGTTTAGAGAGAGAGAGAAAGCAAAGCAAAGGTGGCAAAATGTTAATTGATGAATGTAGAGAAAGGGCATGTTTAGTGTTCATTTTCATTCACGTTTCTGTAGATTTGAAATTTTCCAATATAAAAAGTAAAAAGATTGTCTTTTCAATGTTGCTGAATCAGCTCTGTCAGAGAGAAGATATCTGTAATTTATCTAATTCAAAATATGAGACAGAAAACAACCAATTGATGAACAATGAGATCACATGGACACAGGAAGGGGAATATCACACTCTGGGGACTGTGGTGGGGAGGGGGGAGGGGGGAGGGATAGCATTGGGAGATATACCTAATGCTAGATGACGAGTTAGTGGGTGCAGCGCACCAGCATGGCACATGTATACATATGTAACTAACCTGCACAATGTGCACATGTACCCTAAAACTTAAAGTATAATTAAAAAAAAAAAAAAGAAAACAACCAATTGAAATTCAGCGAAGTTATCCATGCTCCCCGCACATGAACATGTTTCATTCACTATTACATTTAAAAATATATGAGAAGTGCTGACAGAAATGTGTGCTCTTAGTTCTTTGCATGTATGGTCTTTGTGTAGTTGAGTAAACTCGGAAGAAATAAGCCTTAGGAGGGTTTCTGATAGCTTTGCAGTCTGTTTCACAGGCTGCCCATCTCCTCCTTACCACTGTTGCCCCATTTTCAGTCTGCTTCTGAAGGGATGGAGCACGGGTGCTCCTGAACCAGATTGGGAGTGGGAATAGCAGGGAGAGAGAGGGAAGGAGGCTGGCTGGATAAGGAAGACGCTATGGATACAGGCCTCGCTTGCTCCAGGCCAGGACTGACGTGATTGGGGCAGCCAGCCACTGTCCTGGGCAGAGGCACAGATGCTACCTCTTGCACCTGGTGACTGTGTCACTTAACTGATAGGCTTTGAAGTGTCACATTTTGGTCTACTTTAAATCTTTCTTCTTTTAATCAAAGCAATTTTTTTTTTAACTTGGAGGAATTACATAAAATCTTGAGTCAAACATTTCAATACATTATTTATAGGATTAAGTATTCTAATAATTTCACCAAGATATTAGCATTCACCATCTGAGAACTTACCCAGTTAACTTTCTTTCAGCTAAAATAAATATTAATGTGTTTTAATTCTTTTAGTTTCAAGATAAAATGCTTAACTAAATCTTTGTTGAGTTCTGCCAGTGGGTTTCTTAGCAAAAAAGTAGGCATATGGCCAGGTGCAGTGGCTCACACCTGCAATCCCAGCACTTTGGGAGGCCACAGCAGGTGGATCACTTGAGTCCAGGAGTTCTAGACTAGCCTGGGCAACATGGAGGGACCCCATCTCTACTGAAAATACAAAAATTAGCCGGGCATGTGGTGGCGCACACCTGTAATCTCCCAGCCACTGGGGGCTCTGAGGTACAAGAACACTGGAACCCTGGAGGTGGAGGTTGCAGTGAGCTGACATCACACCACTGTACACCAGCCCATGCAACAGAGGAAGACCCTGTTGCCCACCCACCATCCCCCCAAAACACACACACACACACACACACACACACACACACACACACACACACACACACACACACAGAAATGACGATTCTGACCAGGCGCGGTGGCTCACGCCTGTAATCCCAACACTTTGGGAGGCTGAGGTGGGAGGATTACTTGAAGCCAGGAGTTCGAAATCAGCCTGGCCAACATGGCAAAACCCCGTCTCTACTAAAAATACAAAAATTAGCTGGGCATGGTGGCATGTGCCTGTGGCCCAACTACTCGGCAGGGCTGAGGTGGGAGAATCACTTGAACCTGGGAGGCAGAGGTTGCAGTGAGCCAAGATCATGCCATTACACTCCAGCCTGAGCAACAGAGCAAGACTCTGTCTCAAGAAAAAAAAAGTGTAAGAAATGACAATTCTAACATCTTTTTTTAAAAAAAGTGTTTGTGCTCTTTTGATTCAGGTACTTTTAGTGTTTACCAAAGAAGATAACCAATGTAATGGATTCTGCAGGGCATGTGAAAAAGCAGGGTTTAAGTGTACAGTTACCAAGGAGGCTCAGGCTGTCCTTGCCTGTTTCCTGGACAAACATCATGACATTATCATCATAGACCACAGAAATCCTCGACAGCTGGATGCAGAGGCACTGTGCAGGTAAGCCCAAGACTCGGGCCTAAATAGTCCCATTGGCCTTTCTGACAATACATGCAGCCTAGAAATAGATTAAATTAGACTCACTCTCTTTTAAGTTGCTTTCCATGCATGTGAAATAAACAAAATATTAGAACCTCACTATTTATAGGACTGATGCATATCTCTTTTGTTTTGTCTTGCTTCACTTTACTTGAAACAGTAAGAAAATGTGAATAATAAGAATTATTAAGGGTCAAAGTGAAACCCAAAATGTAATTAACCACAAGTATCACTTGTATATTAGTGCAGTAAGAATTATAATTTTTCAGATTGTTTTCAAAGTTTTAAAAATTTTGAAAATTGTCTTTTAATGTTCGATGAATGGGCTTTATTTATTATACTTGCACCTTGTCAATATTATGAGAGAATTCTCTGTAGTGACCTAAACCTAAAAAATGCCTTTTAAAGAAAGTTATTTGTTGCTGATGGAAGCAAGGCAAATATAAAATTTTATGACATATTAATTTTAAGGACATTTAAAATCTTGACTTTTAAGAGAGAGAAAAGATATAAGCTAAGTAGATTAAAAACCCATGGGTTAAAAACCGAGGTGACAAGCAAATGACAACATATTAAAAGATTATTTATGGGGTATGTGGTGACGTCAACATGGGTTTGTTTCCTTGGTGTTGAGAACTCTACACTCCTGGTAGTCAGACTAGGTAGCGTTTACCCTTCCATGACTTGCCTCCAGTAGTTTCTCCTGTGGCCTTGATCTAGTGCCTGAAATGTGCCTGTGTTCCTCATCTGTTTCAATCTGCATGACTTCACAATAAGCCATCATCATTGTAGCCCAGATTTCTTTTTTTTTTTCTTGTGACGGAGTCTCACTCTGTAACCCAGTCTGGAGTGCAAGGCTCGATCTCAGCTCACTGCAACCTCCACCTCCAGGGTTCAAGGGATTCTCCTGCCTCAGCCTCCCAAGTAGCTGGGATTACAGGCGCACACCACCATGCCTGGCTAATTTTGTATTTTTAATAGAGACGGTGTTTGACCATATTGGCCAGGCTGGTCTTGAACTCCTGACCCCAAGTGATCCATCTGCCTCAGCCTCCCAAAGTGCTGGGATTACAGGTGTGAGCCACCGCACTGTGCCCGCCCTACCCCAGATTTCTTGACATGTCATTTGGCCAGTCACCCAGCACATTCATGGGGGATTGCAGCCCAAAAGAAATGGAGAGAGCTCCGGCCAGGAAAAAGGGAGGTCCAGGTCCTTGTTTGGCTCTTCCTGGATAGCTGCTTGTCTCTGGGTAACTCTGCCTTCTCTGGGGATGTTTTAGCTCAGCTGTAAATTTGGAACACTTGGTTTCCAGTATCCCTTTTATCCCTAACATTGAATAGATACCACTCAGAGGAAGGGAAGATGATATCTAAATTACATGGTGCTTGGTAGTCATGGTGGAATGTTGCAAGGCAGTAGAGGTGTCTAAGGTGGGCCAAATGGCTGCCGAGATAGAAGAGGGAGGACAGGGTGAGGGGCTGGAGAAAATTTGGCCTCTTTCCTAGTCTTGTCCAGGCCCAAGCCTAGCCACAGGTATGTGCTAGGCAATGAAAGTTCATACTTTTAAAGGTGACTACTAGAGCATCTTGTATTGTAAAAGAAAATTTAAATTGTGTTGGTTACGCTCCACTGTTAAAAATTGTGGTAAAAGAAACATAACATTAACTTTATGTTCCACTTTTTAAGGGAAGAAAATGTACTATTGCTGTACATTTTAGGAATATTCTAAACAAATAGGGTTAATTCATTCAGCAGATTTTTATTGAGCTATGTACAAGAGAATGTTTTAGACTGAAAGTTATAAAATGAAGTTCTTGTCTTCTATGAGCTTATAGACTAGAGGAGCTGAAATATTTCAATGAAAAAAAGTAATGTTACGTGCTCAGTTAAAAACTCACACAAATACCAAATTCCATAAGCACTATAGTTAATCAGAGTTCTTTCGTCATGTAAATAACAATTTTATATAGTTTTAAAGTAAAGAATGGGAACTGGATTGCTTTAATATATGGTTTTAGAGAAGCAGAGAATGTCAGATGTGCCTCTCCTCTATGAAGTGCCTAGCACTCTCCATCCAGCCTCTCCTCAGGACCTGGGGCTCACTAAGTGAAACCCTGAGATTTAGAAGCTTTGCTTTATATTGAACCCAACTTTGTCCACAGTTGGCGCACAGGATTGCTAGAACAGAGCTATTATTCCTCTTCCCCAGAATGGACTTCCAACACTGGAGGACAGGAATTGTGTCCCCCCACCCCAGACATCTTTCCTTTTCTGAACTGAGCACACCCTTACTGCTATGAGTGGCTCCTAACAGATCCTGGTTTCATATTCCCACCACATCAAGGGTGCTTCCCCTGAGTACCCTTTTCTGATTGATAGACCTTGTAAGCATGGCTCCAGAACCGAAAAGCTCACACTAGGTTTAGGGGAACCAGTGACAAGTAAGCAGAACAGTCCCCTCCACTGTGCTAGCCAGAGAGAGCAGGCCTTTACAAATGTAATCCCCGATCACATTTATTTCCTGATGGCCACATCACAGCCTTGGTCAAGAATCTCAAGTGTTTCTCACAAGCTGTTTTCTACCACGTCATCTCCATCTTGTTGGGTGAGGATTTGGGGTAGGGATGGGTCCTTGTGCTAATCGTAGTGAGTTTTCTAGAGGCAAGAGCAGACCCTGATTTATTTTCCTAATCAGTTTTGTCTTCATTCTGGCCCTTACCTGGCTTATCTCCCTTAAGATCATCCCTTTAAGGATGCCCGCCCACTTTGGACTGTTCAAGAAATCTTTCCAGGCTCCCCACCCCCGAACCAGCTTGCCCTGTCTCTGAGCTGACTTACATGGCTCTTGAGACCTTAGCCCTGCAGAATTCTGTCCTTCCCTTCATCTTCCCTTTTGGGATACCTAATCAACACTGCCTATGGAGAGCTTTTCATCGGTTGTTGACCTGTCTAAATGACTAGCATTCACCTGTATCTCTCTGTTGGGGGCATTTGGAACTCCTTACACTCCTTATGAGATGCCTTGCTAACAGCAAATATTCTATGTCTATTATATTTCCAAATCTACCAGTTTAGGAACCCTACGTTGTAAGTCTCCTCAGGTCTGGGCACTGCATTTGGTACTAGAGCTACATAGATGAGTAAGATGTGCTTCTTGTCTCTGAGGAGCTAATACTTTAGTTAGCAGGGAAAGTGAGTGATTTCGGTATAGGCTTGTAAGTGCCCGCAGAAGAGGTTTACGCAGAGTGTTGTGGGTGCCTGTGTCAAAGAGGGCTTCGCAAGAGGATACTTGAGTTGCATCTTAAAGGATGAGCAGGAGTTTTGAAAGGAAAAAAGGTGGAGAAAATGTTCCAGGTAGAGGGAGCGGCATGTGTAGAAACAGGCAGGACATCCGGGCACCTCTGCTCAGTGCTAGATGGCTGCTGGTCAGGCAGATGTGGAGTAGGTGTCAGGGGAGGTTGGAACAGCAGACGTGAACCAAATGATGAAGGCCTTGTGTGCTAAGCCAAAGGCTGTGGACTCTACCCCGTAGGTAGTTGAAACACTGATAGATTCTGCGCAGGAAAGTGTTGAGCAGGATAGAAAAATAACTTGGCTGCCAAGTGGAGAATGGAGTAGAAAACTGGAGGAGATGAGGCAAATCAATCAGTTGTGAGGCTGCTAGAGGCCATCCAGTAGTTCCTAACAGAGTATAGCTTCATATTCCCACTGTAGCACTTGATATCAATGTCTCCTCCCAACTTCCTATCAAAAAACCCATGAAGAGGGAAAAAGAGACAAAAATTGACCATAGCAATAATAAATAAAAACCCACAAAGATAAGATGATAGGTCAGAAGCTGAGAGAACAGAAAAGGATAGGAATCTCTACTGTATCTGTCGTACCGTGGAGACTAATAAAGAAGCCTGTTTCTGAACTGTGCCTCAAGCACTTCAGTCTTTGAAGCTGAAATACCAGTGGCCATAAAGGAAGGCAGTGGAAACAGGCTTTGCTTTACTCCCACTGTGTTCTGCCAAGCCTGGGATGCTGGAGTTGCTCTAACCAGAGAAACAGATGACTGAGCCCCAGCAGAGCAGCAAGGCTTTATGAGCTGGGCAGAGGCCTGCACTCTTGCCCCTGCCATCCCTGCTGCCCCTGATTCTTTACTTTCTGCATCTACTCAGAAACCCAAGGTAAGGAAGAGAGGGATATGGACAGAGACATGGTTTTTCCTACTATGTTTTAAGAAGGGACAGAGGTATAAGGAACCTGAAGACAGTTCTCCACATACTGCAGTTTCAAAACAACAAATTGCATCAGTTCTCAGGTTCAGTTTGAGAATCAGAGAGAACAGGCCAGGAGCCCCGCTCTGCAGCAGACCTGTGCATGCCTGCTGGCAGTGTTCTCCAAGCCCGAACTGTGCTTGTTGATGTGATCTACCGCCCAGACCTAAGAGGAGGACAGCTGCTGACACCAAGGGTTCAGTGAAGAGGTGCTAAGGAAACTCTTGTGACCCTCTTTGTTGGCAAACTCTTAGCCTGCATAGATGCGAATTGCATTCAGGGGTGTGTAAACAGGATGAGAAGGGGGGCCTGTGAAAAGTGCCACCACATAATGAGGGGGGAAAGAACAGCCCTGAAGACTAAGAAAATTATTTTTTATAAGACACTGTAGAACCTTTTGAAGACATATGCTTAGTGGACTCAGAAGAGGTGCAGCAGTATTTCTTGGTGCAACAGGAGTAGGTCTCTGTAATAAAAGGGAAGATCTCATAAAGGGATATAGAGGAAATAAAAAAAGTACTACTTGAAAACCCAAAACGCATTAACAGAATTAAAATCTATGTTGAATGCAGAAGCAAGATTGAACTCAGAGCACCAGATGCTTTTATACAATTTCTTGATTCACCTTGGTGTGCAGATCCTTTATACCATTATAAATCCCATTCTTTTTCATCTGAAACTCATTCCACATGGCAGAGAAAAATAGCAAAGCACAAGTAATGGAGTTGTGCTTTTGTGAAACTTAACTCATTAAAGGGCTGGGCTATGTTCTTATAGTGAGCCTCCATTATGTGGCCTTTTTTCCAGTGTTGTGTTGAGACCATTATCAGAATTATTTGTAGTTGCCTAGAGTAGCTTGAGTCTGGTAGTTGCCCCCAGTATCCATTTCTATTCTTTTCCTAATAACAGAATCTCTGATGTGTAGCTGGGCATATGGCTACCTAGAAAATAGATTGCATTCCCTAGTTTTTCTTACAGCTGGCCAATGGACCTATCATGTGTATCTTCTGGAAAGTATACTTAGGGAAGGAGCATTCCCTTTTTCCTGCTATCTGGAATGTGGACATTATGGCTAGTGTTCAGTATCTGTCTTGGACCATGAGGAAGAAACCTCATGTACAGACAATAGTAGAGAAACACTGGTAGGAGCTAGGTTCCTGATCCTGCAGAGTCCATGGCAGCCCTGGACTGTCTCCTCTGCACATTTTTGATGTGTGAGACAGATACTGTTTAAACCACTCTTCTCTGGTGTTTTCTATCTTGTGTGGCCAAAAGGATTCCTAATGGTAAACCAAGTAGCATGCTTTTAAGACTTTCCCAGTGAGGCCGGGCTTGGTGGCTCACACCTCTAATCCCAGCACTTTGGGAGGCCAAGGCAGGCAGATTGCTTGAGCCCAGGAGTTCGAGACCAGCTTGAGCCACATGGTGAAACCCTATCTTTACAAAACATCAAAAAATAAACCAAGCATGGTTGGCACTTGCCTGTAGTCCCAGCTACTTGAGAGGCCGATGTGAGAGGATCACTTGAGCCCAGGAGGTCAAAGCTGCAGTGTGCCATGATCACACCACTACACTTGAGCCTGGCCGACAGAGCAAGACCTTGTCTCAAAAAAAAAGTGGGGTGGGTGGGGACTTCCCTGAGTACTTAACACTGCTTTCAGAATCTCATTCTACAGGATCGCACTCCATCTTTTTCGTGACCTTCTTGAATTCTGACTTCCTGAACATTCAGGTATACATTTCAATAATGCCAAGTAATTTCTTTCCTAGTTTTCATGAATTCCAATGCAAGGATGTTATTTTTCAACTCAGTTTCCTGACATTTCTGTTTTCTAGCCCGTTCTTCCTTCATATGCACCAGAAAAGGTCCCAGTATGTCTCTACCTTTTTATACAGTTTTAGAGCTGTTTTTAAGGGCTTATCTCCAGGTAAACAAGGTCCTCCCTTCCACTTTATCCTTAATCCAGTGCTTCTCATTCTTGTGTCTCCAGATAGGAGTAGTTCATTCAAAGCTCCTTAGTGAGATCACCTACCTACTTGCCTACTTGCCATTACATCACTCCCATCTTGATTTTTCTTCTAAAAAGCTGAAAGCTGGTTTGAAATGGCTACATACTTAAATTTGCCCTTTCTCCTTCCAAATCTCTGTGATATGATGGAAATGTAAACACAGGACAGATACAGTGTCACTAGAAGTGATGAAAATACCATTTGTGAGTCACGCCTTATTCCCTGTTTGAGATCAGTGTTAGGATGAGTATTAGTCAGCAGGTGTGATGAGTGCACTAGCTGTGTCTGTGAGTGTCTGTTGTGCCAGTGACCCCTCCAGGCCTAAGCAGCCTTTCCCATAGCTCTTCCCCAGGAAGCTGAGCCTGCCTGCTCTCCCCAGTCAGGGGGACCAGGGTTGAACTGGGGATTGACACCTGGCCAGTAAGCCCTGAGGTGGCGTGTCTGCAAGGGGTCTTCCAGCAGAGCCATGCAGCACCCTTAGGTTGGCTCCCTCTGGAGAGGATAGGCAGGTGGATGCTAGAGGAGTACAGAGTGAACACAGAAAAGCAGGGATGTTGAGGGGGTGGGGAAGAAGTGAACATGAGAGAGACTGGCTGGTCGCTAGAGCTGCTTTTCCATTCCTGAGCAACTTCCCTACCCCTGGCCTATTCTGCATGTGTTGTTAGATTCAGCCTTTCTCAACCTGGATTCCATAAGAAAATGAAGCCCGAATCCCTACAGGCAAGAATGGGCAAAGGAGAACACAGTCTTGCCCATTCATTTGTGTATTATGTGTGACTGCCTTTGTGCTACAGTGGTAGAGTTGAGTAGTTGTGACAAGAGTCCATATGGCCTGCAAAGCCTAAAATATTTATTCCCTGACCCTTTACAGAAAAGTTTGCTAAGACTGGGGCGGGGGCATTTGGCTGAGTGTGCTGGCTCACGCCTGTAATCCCAGCACTTTGGGAGGCCAAGGCAGGAGACTGCTTGAATGCAGGAGTTTGAGACCAGCCTGGGCAATGTAGTGAGACCTCGTCTCTACAAAAAATAAAAAAATTAGCCAGTGGCATGTGCCAGCTGGTCGCAGCTACTCATAGCTGGAGCCCAGGAGGTCAAGACTGCAGTGAGCTGTGATTGCACCACTGTACTCCAGCCTGGTGACAAATAGGAACCTGTCTCAAAAAGATGGGGGCATCCATCGTGCATGATGAATCTCTTACGCATCTGGAATGGTTATGTTGTATACCATCTTTGAGAGACTTGAGAACTAGTCACTCAAATTATTTTCTGGATTTTGTGATTCAGAAGTGGCTCTATACCTTGAACTAACAGCTGAAGCAAATGCAGTCAGTCTTGACTGGTTTCTGTGCCATCCTAGACACATTCTCCAGGAGGCCAGCTCACCTTTGACTTGACTAGGGCAGTCTGGTTATGTTCCTCTACATTCTCCTCCTTTTAGAGTCCCTCTCCAACATAAGTCGTCTTCCTCTGGGTCTGGGGTGAGTTCCTTTCTTCTCCAGTGGAGTTGTTCTTCTCTAGAGTCTGCTCGCTTCTCCCAGTGTAGGATGAGTTCAAAGCTGTTGCATATCTCCAGTGGAGCACTTCTTTTCTTTCTTTTACTCTATGTCACATTTATTTCTGCTCTGATATTTTGGCTGTATTTTCATTCCCCATGGCCTCTAAAGCTGCTTCTGCAAAAGGGTTGAATTTACTCTGTATGGGAAGTCTTGTACTCTTTGGGTAACTTTAGTCGAACAGTCTCTTGTACTTTTCTAGACCAGTCCTCTGTTCTTAACCTTTTCATGAGGTGTTGATGCTCTTCTTTCTGACCGATTACAATATCTTGCATTTCCTAGTTTTGGATTATTTTTGGTTATTTAGCCTCCATTTTACCTAGTAACTCTTCATCCTTTGTGCTCCTTAGAATGCAGTGGAGCCAGCCCTTGGGCTCCTTTATCCCCGTTGTAAGCATAGCCATCATCTTGTGGTAATAGACATAAACTTGCATTTTCCTTTGGAAGAAGAGACCAACGGCTTCTTTCATGTAAGCACAAAGCAGGGAAAATACTCCGCCTGAAACAATGCAGGTTAACAAAGATCAGAACAAGTAGAATACATGTCATCTTAGTTAGCTGTTAATTCATACTCCATAATCATTACAGTTAACACAGTCCACTGAGTGGGAGTTTGCCCCCAAAAGAGAGAAAGATCAAGTAGTCAAGAAGGTGAGTGAATTCAGAGAGTGAGGGGATCATTTACTCTCCCTTCTACCCCTCTTCCAACTTTAATTGTTGTAATTGTTTAAGTATATTTGGTTTTTAAGGATTATTTTTATATTTATTTTAAAGTTTTGTGTTTTTTTTAAGGTCTATCAGATCATCAAAACTCTCAGAAAACACAGTTATTGTTGGTGTAGTACGCAGGTAAACTTTCATTTTTTTAATGTTGAAATTGAGGTACCAGTGTAATACTTGCTCTTAACAGATGGCCAAATAACAGCTTGCATGCTGTGTCAGGCATGCCCCTTTGTAGTGTGGCCTTCTCTTCTTTATTCTTTATTTTATTTTGCTGCTTCAGTTAACTTCCTGGAAGGACTTTGTGCTCTCATGCTAGATTTTTGTGATTTTTAAACTGCCTTTCACTTTAGAAACAGGCGAACTATGAGAGAATTCCATTCCTAAAAGTATGAATGTTTTCCAGGGGTATCTTCCTAGGGCCTTCTAACTCCAAATATCTCTGAGGGGGGAATCTTAGGTTTTGTCTTTAAATTGGAGGTAAGGAAAGAAGAGAAATATATTAGGAGAAGGGCAAGTATTCAAATTAATGTTATTTAGCTTATATGTTTTTATACATAGAAGAAATGTTTCTATGTACTTTAAAGTTTTTTCCTGAGCTGTAGGGGAGAAAGGAATTAAAAAAAAAACCTGGAAGTAGAAGAAAATAGGAGTAGTTTAAATTAAAAATTTTATATATTAAAAAGATATATGAACACTCCTGTATTCCTGCTATTAATGTAGTTTGTGTATTTCAAGTATTATAATATATAATTCCAAAAAGCTAAATGTGAAATTGAAACAGAAAACAGTTTTCAACTTTATCCTTTAAATTTGTATATTAATCTGATTCATCTAAAAGTACTCATTACATAACGAAGTATTATTTAAATTAGTAGAGTAAAAGAGGTGAGATGTAATTGATAAAAACTATGTCTATGTTCTTTACTGTGTTATTTTGAAGGGTGGATAGAGAAGAGTTGTCCGTAATGCCTTTCATTTCTGCTGGATTTACAAGGGTATGTACTCACTTATTTGTTATACAAGTATAATTCAATTTGAGAAATTATTTTATCTCAGTTCAGTACCCAGCAAAAGCTTTGTATTAATTTGAAGAAAAAAAATTGTCTGGCCAGGCGTGGTGGCTCATACCTGTAATCCCAGCACTTTGGGAGGTCGAGGTAGGAGGACCCCTTGGGCCCAGGAGTTCAAGACCAGCCTGGGCAACATAAGGAGAACCTGCCTCAATCGTACTTAAAAAAAAAATTACTGTCCTTGTTTTACAGTTTGGTTTAACTTTATAATCTGCTAATCTAATCTATAATAGTTCATAGTCTCTCAAAACTATGCCTGCTAAGGTCATCTAAACATAATAAAATCTCCTTTAATGGCATTTTCACTAAAAATTATACCACAGGATGTATTGTTATGATGCTGACATGTATACATGCAACTTTTTAAGCTAGTTCAAGGATTCTGGAAATAAGGCAGCCCAAACACAGCTCTCTTTCTCTCCACTCCCAGCTTCAATCTCTTGGTTTCCCTAAGCCAAAAGGTTGCTTGGGGCTTTGGTCAGCTGGCTGCAAATGAGGCCTTAGGAATCATACAGAGAGAACTTAAATAAGGCTGACCCTTGGGCAGATTTGTAGCCCAGGTTAGTATAAGAAAGGTAGTCAAGAAATCTCAAGCCATGAATTTAGTTTCAAGTTTTCTGGATGAGTAGGACTCCTAAGTGCCTGGCAGAAGCAAATATAAATCCTCCCCAGAGGAAGACAGCTTCATCTTTGCCCGCAGAGGATCTCCATAAATAATTGCTCAAGGGCAGCCGGCAGCAGTCAGTCAAAGCTGGAGTCAATCCACCAGGTGACAGGGC